>NC_000006.12:97495032-97646547 GCF_000001405.40 Homo sapiens
CACCCACACTTTGAAGGTCCTAATGCTTGTTGCTCTTACTGTTTCAAAATTCATAATTATTTATGAACAAAAGAACTTGTGTTTTAATTTTCCACTGGACCCCTGCAAATTATGTAGCTGGCTTTGCCGGAGGCACAGAGTGGCCCTGAGGTGAGGGGCTTCCTGAAAGCAGTTGTCTCCCATATCAAAAGTTGCAGTAAAACAGTGAGCCAAGATAATGTGAAGTAAGACTTAAGAGGTATCCAGGACACATCCTGTGTCTTGCATCTATATCTGCGTGTCTGTGTTTCAAGACATGTGAGTCTGGGGCCTCTCTGCTTAGGGCAGTCCTTGAGGGCAACCATGTAGGCCATGATTCAGGCCTGGTGTGCTGGTTCCTCAGATTAAATGTGAGCGTGAGGTTATAAGCATTTCTGAATAAGCCTTCTCCTGTCTTCTCTGCACCTCCCTCCACCCCCAATTTTGAATTGAGGGGCTTATCCCTAAAATCAGCTGGGAAGATACTCCACCAACGTGGGGGAAGCACATATGGACGGGTAGGCCAGGAAGAACACCACTTTTGTTTGCCTGTTTCTTTTCTTAATGTGGTGATTGCTGTTCCAACCCAGAGCTTCGAGGAAGGAAGGGAAGCACATCCACAAAAAATGATTTAAGTAATTTACCGATATGTATGTCTTTTCTATAACATGTTTTTGCTATCTCTTATGTACCACTAAGGAATCTAAAGAAAAAGGTACAATTTGGGTGTATAATCTGAAATGCGCTATATTCAACTTGCTATTATATTTTTACTGGACAAATACTTTTGTCAGCTTTTAAATATCAAGGATCTGGGAGTGTTCTGATTGGTTCTAAGGTAAACTTTTGTTTTTGAGAAACAACAGAAGAAAAGGCTAGAAGCACAAAGTGAAAAGAATACATTTTATGAAAGAATAAAAAACACTGAAGTACTCCTATAAGATGTAGAAAATAGTCTCAAAAGGGCAGATCTAAGCATTATTGGCCTTAGGTAACAAATGCTTGTGAGGATGTGGTGAAAGGGAACTCTTGTACACTGTTGATGGGAATGTAAATTAGTACAACCACTATGGAGGACAGCTTGGAGCTTCCTCAAAAAACTAAAAATTGAGCTTCCATATGATTCAGCAGTTCCACTGCTGGGTATATACACAAAAGAAATGAAATCAGTTTGAAGAGAATCTGCACTCCCTATGTTTGTTGCAGTACTGGTTACAATAGCTGAGATTTAGAAGCAACCTAAGTGTCCATCAACCAAGGAATGGATACAGAAAATGTGGTACATATACACAATGGAGTACTATTCAGTCATAAAAAGAACGAGATCCAGTCATCATTATGTTAAGTGAAATTAGCAAGTCACTGAAAGACAAACATCTCATGTTCTCCCTTATTTGTGGGATCTTAAAAACAAAAAAATTGAACTCATGGACATAGAGAGTAGAAGGATGGTTAGTAGAGACTGGGAGGGTAGCGGGGACCCAGGGGCAGGTAGAGATGGTTAATGGGTACAAATAAAATAGTAGGAATAGAAGGAATGTAAAATAGTAGGAATAGAGGTAACAGTAGAAATAGAAGGAATGATTAAGACCTACTATTTGCTAGCACAATAGGATGACTATAGTCAATAATAACTTAATTGTACATTTTAAAATAAAGAGTGTAATTGGATTGTTTGTAACTCAGAAGATAGATGTTCAAGGGGATGGATACCCCATTCTCCATGATGTGCTTATTTCACGTTGCATTCCTGTATCAAAACATCTCATGTACCCCAAAATATATAGACCTACTATATATTCACAAATTTAAAAAATAGGAAAAAAATTTGAAATAATACATTTCATTTTTTTTCTTAGGTGACAATTGCCCCACAAGTTAAGGCATTGTCAAATAGTGTTTTTTATGGCTCAAAATCTGTAATGCAACACAGGGAGGGTTTCTAAGCTCTTCAATCAGAATTATCTAGCAAGCTAAATATGAATATGAACCCAGCCCAATATTTTGCTCATTGAATTGACAGTACTAGTTTTGGAATTTCAGTTGTAATTGAACTCTGAAGATAATCATTATCAATTTCTTTTCTCCCCACTCTACCCCCTTTTTCTTAGTATGAAACTATGAAGAAATGGGGATGACAAATGATAATTGTTTAGGACTATTTTTTTAATAGTCAAAAAAATAAATAAAACTATGTACATTTCATTGGATTATGGAAACAGTTACTGTTTAAGTGTTTCTTTTGTGAGTGTCTCTAGTTTACATGTATTCAATTTACAAGTAAATCATTGTGAAAAGAAAGTTGAAAGGATTTAATAAGATTTTGTTCATGTTAACATGTACAAATAATGTGTTTATATGCATATGCAGGGTACAAATGCATATGTTTATATGTGTATAAACACATAAATAAAAACAGGAATGATTCAAGCACAGGAATATGAAAGGCTATTATTGTTTTTGGGTGGTGTTTCTTCTCCAAAGAGGCAAATAGCTACATTCCACTGAACACCTGATTTTTCTTTGTGTCATTGTTGTAAATTAACTTGTTGTGATGATCTACATAAAAACTGATGACAAATTATTTTTGAAAAATGTGGACACATTCATCATGATCAGTTGTGATCAGCTGGAGTGAAGATATTCTTTGAAAATGAGGTGTTTTAAATTAAGATGCTTAAAAAGTACAAATAACAAAAGCCAACTGAGCAAAACCTCCAGCTTTTCAGACTTGGTATGTGAATGTGTCCATTTTTAATGAGGAAAATGAGGTCAGCATCAGTTGGGAACTTTCAGGAGAACACAGTGTACTGTACCAATTAGTGAGTCTTCTCAGGAGGCCGCAGTGACACAATTCTTTATCCTGCTGCCAGGTGGCGCTGTGCAGTAGTAGGTACAGTCTTGCACACTGCATAAAATGTCTGCTCCTGACATGGCAGTTTAATTGTATTACTAACCTGGTAACTGATTCTACTGGAAGTGTGAAAATAAACTTATTTTCCAAAGTTCCAAAATTCCAAATCATCTCTGTATAACTCTAGTTTAATCGGTCTAAATCCTCACTTTCGGTGGCAAGCTTCTGTGCTAGTGAATAAATCTTAAAAGACTAGATAAAAGACTCATGGTTTCCAAAAGCACTGTCTTTCATTATAACTGGTGCTTATGCCTTATAAACCCTCTGCTTTGAATTTAAATAAAGCAGTATTAAAATAAAACTCTTTTGTTGCAATAGAATGCTTTTTACTTTGGAAGAGTTAGACCAGAAGGAATTTAAAGGCAATGAATAGAAGAAATATCTTATAGCATTAGTTTAACATGTGTAAGCACACACTTTAATTTTTTTTAAGAAAAGACTTCTATTTAATTTTTTTTTCAAAAAATCTATTTTTGCCCATTTATTCCCCCAAGGATAGTTACAATCATTCTTAAAATGGTCAACTTTCTGTTTTTTTTTTTCTTTTGACGTGATGTAATTTGGTTCTTTTTCTTTGTTATGATAATGACCTGACTTCAAAATTACTCTTAAATCAATCTTCAGATAGGAAGTTCCCCAGCCCAATGCAGTTGGCATATATTAGATCCAAAATTATTTTAAATGTTTGATTTATTTGATTGCCATTACAAATTTAAATCCCCAAATTGTGTAAATGTATAAGGCAAATGTGCTCTTTGAGTGTGAAACACCTATCAGAAATATGATGTTTTGGGTTTTTAAGAGATGACATTTAAAAAATGTGAACGTTTTTGCAATCTATGTGAAACAGGACAGTTTTTCCTGTTGTCAACCGTATCTTTTCATGTTACAGAGTCATCTAGGCATTACAATGGTTAACAAAACAGGTGAATTTATAGATGTATCTTGATTGTATTGGTATTTATAAAGTCCCACGGTTTATAGAAAAAATTTCCAGAGAGAGGGGGCCATATTTAGCTGTAATTATTAAGTTTTTCATGCAAAATTTATTATGGCACTATGAGGAACTCGGAGTAGTATGAATGTGTGAATCAGTTTCATAGTGTTTGAAAGGAGAAATATTTTTATTGAATGTTAATTGGTGGGGACATATTTCTTAGAGTGGTTCTTATTGAATATCCATAATATGGTGGGGGTAGTTGAAATCAACTACCAGTTGGGCAAGAGTTGTGGCTTCAAGGAGATTTTACTTTAATTGATGACAGAAAATTCTATTTTGAAGGGAGTGTCATAGAAATAAAAGATGCTTATTAAAGAGTTACTGGGAGCAGTATAAATATTTTACAATAAAATGGAAGCTTAGCAAAGTACTGACATATCCCTATAATATGCTACTTTAACATCATGTTTTTAAGAATATATAATGGTATGGATAAATGCTCACCATTTATAATTGCAAAAAAAAGGTAGGCTATAAAAGGGCATATAATCTTTCTCCCTAACAACACACACATACGATAAACCCAATTTCATATTAAATAACAATAAAATATACATTAAAAAGATTTAAATATTTTCATCAAAATGTTAAAAGCAATTTTTTTTCTGGGTAGTAGGATTTTGAATGACTTTTTTTCTTCACATTTTGTGCTCTGGAAAATTTTCTTCACTACATGTATTATTTTTAAGTTATGAAAAATGCATTTTCTTTTTAAAAAGTAACAAAAATTATAGTATTATGTTCAGAAGTGCAAGATTTTGCACTTTTGCAACAGTTTGCAACATGCAAACATTTTATTGTCAATATATTTTATGAAACTGATAAAAAAATCTGGTTCTTTGCAATGCTGATATGTAATCTCCTCATTACCCTGAACCTGGGCTAAATTTTTACTCTGCGATATCTAACGGGCACTATTTTATATATTCATACCTTTTTAAAGATCTTTAGTTGCAATACATTTTGGATGTCTTGATAAGTAAATTTCTTTTATGTAGTTTTAAACACAAGCTTAATTTTGCCTTTCCACTGATTCATAATATATAGGCGAGGAGAGACAAAAAGTGGCATGAATAAATGTGCCTAAGGAAATCCTATTAAATGCTGGTTTCTAGGCTTCATTTTGTACTAATTGGCATCATTTTTCGAGCACTCACTGTGTGCCTGGCATTGTGCTAAGAGCATTTTAAAATACTTTATTTCATTCCCATGTTAACTCATGTTTGAGTTCATATTGTTCATATTGTTATTTCTATTTTATAGGCAAGTAATTGGGTCTTGGAAAGCTAATGGTTTACCAGAGGTCACAGAATCTGAGACTCTTTTTAGACTTAAAAATCTATGCTTTCTAATTGTAAATTAATCAGTTGTTTTACCACATAAATTACTTTCTAGGATTTAATTATTTTCTCATATTTAAAGTATAGGACTTGGATGAGGTTGCGGGGGTAAGAGGGTGGTGCTAAAACTCTTCCTAATAAGAGCTACTTTAAATTTTTCCAAAATTTTATGTTTGTATTTGGGGCTAAACCAAGTGTACTGATTAACAAGTTGTTGAGAGTGAAAAAAGCTTGGAAATTGAACAGATAGGTATACTTTTTACATTGTTAGTAGATAGGAAGTGACTGTCTAAGATCTCTGGATCCTCTAGGGAACTTTCAGACAATACTAGTTAGTGATTCTCATGTACCTTTTACTGGCCAAAATATATGTTAGTTAGCCTTCTGTTTTTTTAAAAAATGTTTGAGGTCTGTTTTAAAGAGTGTCTGTAAGAAGGATATAGCAGTAATAAGAGGGATTAGTTACAAGTAGGTAAGGGCAGAATTATTTATTTGTTACAAAAAGTCCAATAACGTTTAAAGGCAATGATTGTCAGGTTAGAAAACAATTCATCATAGTGAAAAAAGTAATGCAATGAAAGGAGAAATAATAGAATCTCATAATGGGAGAATAGACTCTATATTTGAAAATATTTTGCTGAGAGCACCCTGATACCAGGAACAGATGAAGTGAGTGACCTCACAGGGCTTTTCTAATTTCTGTGATTCCGTAACGGAGCACTCTGAAGGTACCTTGCTTATGACATTTCTGGATTTACATTTTACCACATAATGAACTGCTGAATGATTTTGGTTGAAACAGTTTCCATATTATTGGACGAGTCACCTCATTATTGAATGGAACAACTTCACAAAGATTAAAACTGGAACTTGACTATAATGATTTTCTAAGTTCATTTTATAATCAGTGATGCAATGCTTCATATTCATATTCATAAATATAAAAGGTTTTGGGGACTCTACATGTCAATATCATATGCCATTAAACTTATGCAATTTATTTTTATAAAATACAAAAAATGACCAGAATGATATGGAAACTATAGAGTGCATATTTCCTTTTTATTAGTACTTTTTTCCTCCCATCTCATACAGCGCCCAATTTAGGGCAAAGACAAAACGAAAGTGTATCTTGAATATGCATCACAGGTTCCAAAAATGAAAAGAAATTGGATTTGGATAGCACTTACTCAATAGACAGATATGATACATGGTAAGAAGGTGCACTGTCTGCCCTGTGATAGATTAAACTACTTTGTAGGAAAATTACTGTGAGCCAGTCACCACCACCACCGTGGCTAAATCTTTAATAAAATTCTCTTCCATATTCAGGAGTGAGGTATGAAGTACACAATAAGCAAAGTGAAGTAGAGTGCCATTTATCAAACACCGACCAGGTCTGTAATCTTCTGCTTTATCCTTTCTTTGTACTTTATTTCTTTATTGTTACAAGGAGGGATATTTACCCAGAGCAGTGGGCATGAAGCCCTGATAAACCTCCTCCTTCCTGTCTTTCCCCTTTTCTTACTCCTTTTCGTCAGCCTTGTCAGTATAATTTGTTTCCTTCTAGGTGGTCTTTTGCTTGTTTGGCATTCTTTTTTCTCTTCTTTTCTCTGCCTTTCTTTGAAATGTGCATTCATGATATGGGAAATGACACCAAAACTACAGGAAAATGCAATGGGAATGCTAACAACTACAATGAAGGACTGTCCAGGATGCATTCGGTAATGACTTTGAATGCCTCTTGGCAAGATAGCAGTATTAAAATGTTGTAGACAGCCCCTGGGTGGCAGTGCACAGCCGGTCCTGATGCCATCAAAAGCATTTTCAAAGTAAAGATTTTATATGTGGGTGTATGTGTATATGTGTAATATATATATGTATGTAATATATATGTTATATATGATGTATGTATGTATATGTAATATATGTATGTTTCTATATATGACATGAGTATGTGTTATATGTATATTTGTGTGTGATATATATACATGTATCTATGATGTAGATATGTAATATGTTGTATAAAATATATTTTATTATATATATACACACACAATGCATTTTTACCCAGCTGCTCCCAAACTAAAGAATTTAAAAGTAGCTTTCTATTTGAAAGATACAAATGCTCTATCTAATTTATCTCTTATTTCTTAAGTACAATAATGATAATTTTGCTAAAAATGATTTTCATGTTTAAAAATCATATACTGAAAAGGTCCTAGATATTCTGGCCATGTGATAATGTCTGAAATGTCTTTGAAACCATGCAGATATAGGTACAGATGCAGAAGCGTCTAGAGGGTAGTGAGAATGTGGCTGGAGGTATTTTGTGCCCCTCAATCTGCACACTGCCAGTCTATACAGCAGCCTTGGGGGTAAATTATTTTTAGTACTATTATAACCCTTTTTTATTGTTTGAATAGCAGTTTTATGACAAAACATTTATAGTCAGGCTGTCTTTGTACTTGACTGAAAGAGAGCAATCATGGAGAGTGATAAGGCAACAATGGTAATGATAACTGCATTTATAAAGATGTACAGAATTTAAATGGGTGTGCTAAAATAGACTGGCGGTAGTTCTCTATCTGTACTTGGAGCAGAGATGGGCACAATTCTTGTGGCAGAGATGCTTTTGTTATTTGGGGCAGATGACAGAGAGAGAGAGAGTGTGTGTGTGTGTGTGTCTGCGTGCATGCACACACATGTGCATGCTTTCCTTTGTCATTGTTTCTTCCTTTCAGTTAAATGCACCTGATATGTAGTTGTAGGGTTAGTAATAACAAACAGATAAATATCCTATATTCAGATTGACAATTATCATGATTTTGTGAGATTATGATAAAATGCAACTGCATTTCTGCATAAACTATTCAACTGAAGTATTAGTTCTTTAAAAATTATGATTATTTGCTCTTATCTAGCATTGGTCTATTTCTCTGTCTCTTGAGAATCTACCTCTCATGAAAAATTGATAATTTTCTCTGAGAAGGAGAGGAGGATGGAGGGGAGGGTGCTGTATCTCAAAACATAATTCAAGAGTGAGAGTTTATTCTGTCTGCTTGGTACCAATGGTTTTCATATATTTTTACAGTTTCATCAATTTTCTTTATTTCTAATGTTCTGACCATAAGTAAAAGTGAAGCTTCTTCAGGTCCAGTTACATTCCTTTGTTTCTTTTTTAATTTTTAGATATTTTGTAGCATTAACATAATGATATAACATAATAAAAAGGGTTGACATTGTACAATTGCCTTGTGCTCTACATAAAACTAAAACCATACAATGTGGGTTAGAAATAGTATCTTCTCTTCACAAGGTATCCCCAAGGTCTCTTAAAATCAGCCATACATTGCTGAAGTCTATATTTTGTCTTCCTTGGCCCACTCTCCTCTTCAGCAAAGTTAATAACTTCTATCATGAAGGGAAAAAATCAATTTATTTGTGTCCTACCTTGTTTCAAAAAGAAATTAAGGTGACTTACAAAGATACATAAAATAGATTTAAAACTAAGTGAGGGAAATGAAAGCCAAAGGAAAGCCAGAGAAGGAGGGAAGGGTGGAGAAAAGAGTAACTGTGGAACCAAATGCCTATTGTGAACCCCTATGTGCCTGTGAGACTTGGGCTGCAGATTTAGGTTTTAGCTCTCTAGCAGCCAATACAAAGATGGAAACAATTCCAAGATACACAGAGTCAACATCAAGAGAATAAATAGATTTCTCAGGAGATATGCAACTATTTCAGGGTATTCAGGCTTATAGGAAATTTATCTCCTGGGTTGTAATAGAACACTGTGTAATCCCAGGAAATATGTTTCTTAACTATAGCCTATGGTAAACACACGTGTAAGTATAATAAAAACTAGTTGTAGCATCTTGAGAAAGCAAAAGTCAGTGAAAGCAAGTCTAAAGTTTATTCATTCAGTAGTCATCTATTTAATGTGTCCTCTGTATTCTGCAACAGGCAGGAAATGGAACAGTAGAATAGTAGTGAGCAAGAGCCATAGCCTCCTGCCCTCATCAAACTTACAATTTTTTACTGAAACTGACATCGACAAATTAGTTATGTGTGTGATGAAAAATCCTGCAAGTGATGAGAAGGAGAAGACTCAGCTTAGGTCTCGTAGTCTAACCTAATCATCAGGTAGATATCACAAAAACTGGAGCTACATACAATGTAGGCAGCTGTATACAAATGGCACTTCTTTTTTAAAATAAAATTTATTTTAGGTTTGGAGGTACATGTGCAGGTTTGTTACATAGGTAAACTCATGCCATGAGGGGTCGATGTACAGATTATTTCATCACCCAGGTACTAAGCCTGGTACCCATTAGTTATTTTTTCGGCTCCTCTCACTACTCCTACCCTCCGTTCTCAAGTAGGCCCCGGTGTTTGTTGTTCCCTTCTTTGTGTTCATAAGTTCTCATCATTTAGCTTCCACTTATAAGTGAGAACATGTTGTATTTGGTTTTCAGTTCCTTCATTAGTTTGCTAAGGATAATGGCCTCCAGCTCCATCCATGTCCCTGAGAAGGAAATGATCTCATTCTTTTCTGTGGCTGCATGGTATTTCATGGTGTGTATGTACCACGTTTTGTTTATCCAATCTGTCATTGATGGGCATTTAGGTTGATTCCACATATTTGCTATTGTGAATAGTGCTGCAATGAATATTCATATGCATGTGTCTTTATAGTGGAATGATTTATATTCCTCTGCAGATATACCTAGTAGTGGAATTGCTGGGTCTAATGGTGGTTCTGTTTTCAGCAATTTGAGGAATTGCCACACTGCTTTCCACAATGGTTGACCTAATTTATACTCCCACAAACAGTATATAAGTGTTCCCTCCTTTTTTTTTTACAACCTCTCCAGCTTCTGTTATTTTTTGATTTTTTAAATAATAGCCATTCTGACTGATGTAAGATGGTATCTCATTGTGGTTTTTATTTGCATTTCTCTAATGATCAGTGATATTGAGCTTTTTTTCATATGCTTGTTGGCCACATGTGTCTTTTTCAGAAAAGTGTCTGTTCATTCTTTTGCCCACTTTTTAATGGGGTGGTTTGTTTTTTCCTACAAATTTGTTTAAGTTCCTTATAGATGCTGAATAAACAAGCAATGGGGAAAGGGGTCCCTATTTAATAAAATTGTGCTGGGATAACTGGTTAGCCATAAGCAGACGATTGAAACTGGACCCCTTCCTTATACCATATACAAAAATCAACTCAAGATGGATTAAAGACTTAAATGCAAAACCTAAAACTATAAAGACCCTGGAAGGCAACCTAGGCAACACCATCCTGTACATAGGAATGGGGGCAAGGATTTTATGACAAAGACGCCAAAAGCAATTGCAACAAAAGAAATAATTGATCTAATGCGACCTAATTAAACTTAAGAGCTTCTGCACAGCAAAAGAAACTATCAACAGAGTAAACAGAGAACCCACAGAATGAGAGAAACTATTTGCAAACTGTGCATCTGACAAATAGCATTTCTATGAATGCAGCTTTTAATTTGTGTGCGGTAGTGGTGAGTTCAAGATGTACTTCCTGACAAGTCTGAAAAGTTCACTTTTTCTGGGTTGCCAGTTGAGAACAAAGCCACATGCCTCAGGAATCAGTTGAGCTTTTGCTAGAAAGACAAGAAAAATTGAGAGAATTTCATATTTAACCATATTCATTTGCCTACATGAAGGAGAAAAGAAAGAAATGTTTATATTTGCATTTTGGCCGCCTAATTCTCCCATTATGAGTCTCTTATCTTGCAATGTGTTTAGTCTTTTCTTTAGTGTTTATTTGTGGAGTGTAACTCACATACTAACCTATATCTTTAGAATTTTTAAACAGATTTTCTTTCAACAGTCACTGTTAAAACCATGCTTCAGAAAAGAAATTTTTTAGAAGGCATGGTTATCTTCCAGGAAACACATACATCTATTTGAAAAATAGAATTTTATGACATCAAGGAATTTATTTTTCATTAATCATATAATTGGATTGTAAATGCTCTTGTTGTGTTCCTATTTAAGTTGTTATTAATAGTATTGAGCAGTTTCACTTTAAAATATGGAAATACAACATTTCAAGCAATCTATCTTTTTGGTTCCATGTGTCTCCAAGAATGGTCTTGTTTGTTTAGCTTTTAAATTCTTTTTACAGATCCATAATTAGCTCTCTTCAAATGATTTGTTTGTTCCTCTTTTGGAACTGTTTGTGAAAACAGTGGGGAGGGAGGAGAAAGATGTCTAGTAAAATGATGATGAATCCAGTATTATGATAAAAAGACGAAAAAAAAAAACCTCCCAGCAAATTCTGGCTTCGTGGTAAGATACAAAGAACACCTGGTCTTTGGTAACCAGTTTTGGATGATCAGGTCATGTTAACTTATCAGGAAGACAGTTGCTGTTTAGCATGAGATTGTTTACCAACATGGAAGGGATTTGGCAACTTCTCTCAGAAAGTAATTCTCAAGCCTATTTTGATTAGCAACCCTCCTAT
Organism: Homo sapiens; assembly: GCF_000001405.40. NCBI lineage: Eukaryota > Metazoa > Chordata > Mammalia > Primates > Hominidae > Homo > Homo sapiens. The sequence goes on from NC_000006.12 coordinate 97,506,807, forward strand.
CCTGCCTTACCTATATATACAGGCCCTGCAGTGATATTGAGCACTCCTCCTCCTTTTTTTCCACATTCTATTGTCTTATTTGCTCCAAAGTAATGGAATAAATAAATAATCTTTATTACGATTAATTTGAATTTAGAGAGTTTAGAAGAGCTCTGTGTGGAATAATGGAACTCATCTCCTACACACTGACATATTAGAGGAACCAGAATATCTTTCTTTAAAGTGGATTTGCCTATGAGACGTGGGGATAGGAGATAAGCAATAGTTTCATCTCTTCTCTGAGTAATCCAGAAATCTCATGATCTTCAAAATATTCCTAAAAAGAAGTCACCGTGCTGTTCTCCATCCATCTCCAGACCCCACCACCATCCCCAGCTTTAAGCTACATGAGAAATACAAAGCATTTGTCCTCCTTTCCTCTCAGAAAAAGAAAAATAAGCCACAGAAATAATAACATTATTTTTTATACTTTTACAGCCTGACTATGGGAGATCCAACTCATTTGACTTTGACTGCTCCTTGAGAAATAACAACAAAAAAGATATTTCATAAAAGATATTTTACCCCTGAGTCATTCTAGTTAATGTCTATTTTCTAATGTATGTCTCTCGGGGTTTAAAAACAGTGATACAGAGGTGCATCCAAAAATTATAGAAATGCCTTTAGACTTGGTAGAGATGGCCATGCATAAAATTAAGCAAAAACCTGAAACTCCTCTTATTGTTGCCTAATGTTATCTATTGCATGTAGCCAGTATTAATTCTTCATGGAGCTCTGGTTTCACAGCATATATAAAACTATGGTTTAAAATGGGTAAGTGGACTTTACAACTACCTGAAGCTTATATCCATTCTTAAAAATGAAGGATGTCTCTATGGCATAATACTGGTTTATTTGAACATTAGAGATTCCAGTTTAAACTTAAGCATAATTAGTTATACTATAACACTAAGCAAGTTTTCTTCTAGTTGGCAGGTTACTTTCAGATACATAATGACAAAAATAGATTTGTTTCTTTATGTCCCTTTATTTCTTCCTTAGCTTCCCTAACAAAAGCTTTTTGGCAAGACAGAATCCAATAGGACATATTTCCTTTTAGACCTCATTGAGAAAGACTTAAGTGTTAACCACATTAGGGCATTGAGAAATAATACACATTAGGTATAAGAAGGGGAAAAATCAAATAACAAGAATAAAGAAAGATGAACTAAAGAAAGTGATAAAGAGGGAAGAGAAACAGGAAAGTGCTCTCAATCTAATTAAAAAGCAAAAGCTTCAATACAGCATTGTATTTCAAAGCAGATACATTTCTTCATGGACATATATTTTAATTTTTGATAAAGGAGATGATGTTAAAAACTCTAAAGACTTTTTTGTCAGGTAAGAAATGTTGCCCTACAAAATGGGATTTAGTAACTAACTTTTGACTCAAAATAAGATGTTCACAAAATAAGAAATGATTGGAAATAGCCTCACTCTAAGGGGGAAAATCTGCCTGTTTATCTATTTTGAGAAGTAGCAGTAGTTGTTACATTTCAGACGTTCTTTCCTAAAGAATATAATTGTAAAGATGTTGCAGATAAGAGATTTTTATCTCTTCAAGTTTATCTATGCAACTTGTCTGCAACATCTTTACTATGATAAAAATCTCCCCCTCTTCTCACCGTTTTTTTTTTTTTTTTTGAGGATAAAAGTTTTATCTTGTGGCCAGAAAGACAGTTCTTTTATGTCCAACTTAGTTGATAACCAAAAACAGTGTTTTAAGCTCAGTAGGGTCAATTCCATAAAGGGATATGGAATTACCAAGTAGCAGGTACTTATGGATATTAAGTACATCAGTTTCTCTTTTCCATCTCTGTCTTTTCTTTGTTACAATGATGTCTGCATGCCCTTTTTATGTACTATTGTGATATGATGTTGGCTCCCAAGAGATGATGCTATAATAGGCAACATGGCAGCATGCAGTGTGCTTTCCAGGAATACCCTGTGTTTACATCTCTAAATGCTACATTGAAATTGTAATCCCAATAGTTCTGTGAGATTAATTTGTCTACTGTGTACAATACATTAGCAACATCAATTCTGGGTAGCTGTCTGGTAGGGATTGTTAATGACCGTACTCAGCTGTGGCTCTCAAAAAGTCACAATATTTAGCAAAGATTTTACAGAGTGAATTCTTCACCTTCCTGCTAACTATGATGGTTAGGTAGAAGTGATAGTGTTATGGGAGGATAGGTAAAAGTTTAATAATACACTTTCACTTATATCTAATCCAAATAGAATTATAATAACAGAATCTTAGCGTTGACGGCATCCTTAATGGTCATTGATTCTCACCCTCATTTTATAGGAATGAAGAAATAAGGCTTAAAATGCAGTTCTGAAGGCCCCATGTTATTGGAAGAATAAATATCATGAATCAGATCTTAAAAACTAAATTTGCTGCCTTTTCCTGGCTTTGGGGTTTTTAGTGATATGATTTCCCCTCTACTAATATATTACTTTATTGAGTTTAGGTTGAATAAAAGCATAAAGGTCATAGTTCTCTTATGCACATATTAATTCCTTGACCACTTGCATAATTAACTTTTTGAATATTTTTGGATCATGCTTAACATTTTCTCAGGAGGAATTTCTTAAAATTGCACTTTTTATTACTTTTGTCTGTTTTAGATTTATAGAATTGTAGAAATCAAATGAATCTGTAAAAGATCACCCAGTGCAAACTTCTTACTTTACAAATGAGGAAACTGAGGACCAGAGACTTTTTTTGTCATTTGTACCAGACCCACGGTCAATAACTGAGTGGAGATGAAAGTGCCAGGGTTCTGTGACTCAGTCCATTGCCCTTTATAATCTTCTGCATTGTATTTTTTTCTACTTATATTCTATAAAAAATTAAATTTTGAAATATTTCAAGCATACAGAGAAGTATTAGTGGGATCCTTGCACTGTAATCCTTAAAATCATAATGTTTTGCTCTGTTTCCTTCCAGACATTTTGTATCTTTATTTTAAAGAATGAACCAGACACGGTTAAGCTGCTTGTGTTTTTCTGTCCCTCATTTCTACTCCTTTTATTTTAATACGTATTTTTTTTTCAACTTTTGGTAAGAAAAATTGTAAACATGGAAAAGCTGAAAAATCTTACAGTGATGATTGTATAAACTACTATCTGGATTCTGCTATTAACATTTTACTATATTGCTTTGTTGCATATCTATTCATCTAGTTATTCCTACATTCCTCAATATATCTATTTTTGGTTGCATTTCCAATGAAAGTGCAGATATTAATACACTTTCCCCTGAACACTTAGCATGCATATCACAAAGGAGTATTCAATATTTTTTACATTTTTTCTTTTGATGTAAAATTTGCATGCAATGAAATATACTTATAAAAAGTGTACTTTCATCAAGTTTTGACAGTTCCATCTACCTGTGTAACCACCACCGTGACTTTGCTACAGAATACTACCATCTCCCCAGAAAATTCTCTCATGATCCTTCTCAGTCAATTCTTGCCCCAAACCACCCAGAAATAACCACATTTTTTTTTTTTTGAGATGAAGTCTCACTATGTCACTCAGGCTGGAGTGCAGTGACGTGATCTCAGCTCACTGTAACCTCTGTCTCCCGGGTTCAAGTGATTCTTCTGCCTCAGCCTTCCCAGTAGCTGGGATTACAGATGCACACCACCACAACTGGCTTTTTTTTTTTTTTTTTTTTTTTTTTTTGTATTTTTAGTAGAGAGGGGGTTTGCTATGTTGGCCAGGCTGGTCCCAAACTCCTGACCTCAAGTGATCTGCCGGCCTTGGCCTCCCCAAGTGCTGGGATTACAGACATGAGCCACTGCACCCGGCCCCACTGTTTTGATATTTTTTACCACTAGTTAGTTTTTCCTGTTCTAGAGCTGAATATAAATTGAATCAAACAGTATGTTCTGTTTTGTGTGAAGCTTCTTTCCCTCAGCACAATGTTTTTGAGATGTATCCATGCTATTGGATATTATCAATAGTTAGTTATTTTTTATTGCCAGGTATTATTCCATTGTATGAATGAATCTTGGTTTGTTTATCCAGTTCTCTGTTGACAGAATGTTGGCTTTCTAGTTTTGCTCTATTATAAATAAAGCTGCTATGATAGACAATCTAGCAATGCTATAATTACTGTTTCAATTTCTTTTTCCATATATTTAAACTATCCATGTCTTTATATTTAAAATCCATCTTATGCAAATAACATAGAGTCTTGCTTTTTTAATGTCTGATGATCTCTACTTTTAAATTGGAATTATTAATCCACTTATTGTTAATGTAATTATTAATATTTTTTTATTTAGGTCTATTATGTAAAAATTTTATTTTTGCTTTTTCTTTCTCTGTTTTTCATTTCTTTTTTTCTCCTTTGCTGTCTTATTCTAGATTTCACAAATATGTTTAGAATTTTTAGAATTATGTTTTATACTTGGCTTTTTGGCTATGCTCTTTTGTGTTATATGTATTTTAGTGGTTACTACAGGTGTTACAATATACAATCATAATTTTCCACACTTTAATTAGTGTTAATTTTTTTAAATCAAAGTAAAATGTATTAGGTTGGTGCAAAAGTGATTGTTGTTTTGCCATTGGTTTTGCACCAACATAATAGAAATGTTTCAACTATATAGGCCCCTTTACCAATTCCCACCTTCTTTTATTCTGTAATTTTCGTATGTCATTTATCTGCATATGTTATAAACCCTACAGTTTAAACACAGATTTAAACAATATGTGATAAATAAATTAAAACGAAAAAGTAGTCTTTTGTATTTACCCAGATATTTATCATTTTCCTCATTCCTTCCTAAAGATCCAAGTTTCTATCTAGTATTATTTTCCTTCAGCCTGAAGAACTTTCTTTAGCATTTCTGGCAATGTAGGTCTTTCTAGTAATAAATACTCCTAGTCTTCTCTTATCTAAAAGTGTTTTTATTTTGCCTGTATTTTTGAAGGATTTTTTTTCTGCATATAAAAGTTCAGTTTGACAGTTTTTTTTTTTCTTTATGCACTTTAAATATGTTCTACTTTCTTAGGCAGTTTTTGTTTCTGATGAAACACGGCAGTTATTTGAATTCTGTATCCAATGTGTTGTTTCTTCTGTTTTTAAGAATTTATCTTTGTATTTGGTTCCCACCAGTTTGACTATGTATGCCTATGCATTATTAATTTCATATTTATTCTGTTTGGTATGTTGAAATAATTGAATTTGAATATTTATGTTTTTCACAAATTTAGGAAGTTTTTGGCCAATATTTTTTCAAATATATTATCTCTACCATTCCCTCTTCTCTTTCTGGGACTCCACATAACCCTTGTGTTAGTCAGTTTTGCATTGCTATAAAGAAATATCTGAGACTGGATAATTTATTTTAAAAAGAGGTTTATTGGAATCATGGTTTTGTAGGCTGTGCACAAAGCATAGTGCTGGCATCTGCTTCTGGTTAGGGTCTCAGGAAGCTTACAATCATTGCAGAAGGTGAAGGGGAGCTGGCATATCATGTGATGAGAGAGGGAGCAAGAGAAAATGGGGTAGGTGCCTGGCTCTTAAACAACCAGATCTCACATAAGCTTATAGAGTGAGAACTCTACCATGAGGAAAGCACCAAGCAATTCATGATTGATCTGACTCCATGACCCAAACACCTCCCAATAGGCCCACCTCCAACACTGGAGGTCACATTTCAATATGAGATTTGGAGGAGACATAACATCCAAACCATACCGTCCCAGTTAGACATTTTGTTAGTATTCCACAGGTCCCTGAAGTGTTGTTCCATCTGTTTTCAATCTTTTTTCCCTCTTTCTTCTTCATTTGGATAGTTTCTATTGTCTTATCTGCAGGTTCACTCTTTCCACTGACATCTCTACTCTTCTTATAAGCCTATCTATTAACTTTTTTTTATTTGTTTGTTTTTGAGATGGAGTGTCGCTCTGTTGCCCAGGCTGGAGTGCAGTGGCGTGATCTTGGCTCCCTGCAACCTCCACCTCCCAGGTTCAAGTGATTCTCCTGCCTCAGCCTCCCAAGTAGCTGGGACTACAGGCATGTGACACCATGCCCAGCTTTATTATTTATTTATTTATTCATTTTTTTATTTTTGTATTTTTAGTAGAGATGGGGTTTCACCATATTGGCCAGGCTGCTCTTGAACTCCTGATCTCGTCATCTGCCCGCCTCGGACTCCCAAAGTGCTGAGATTACAGGTGTGAGCCACTGTGCCCAGCCTCTAGTAACATTTTAAAATCAGATTTTGTGCTTTTCAGTTTTAAATTTTCAATTTTAAAAGTATAATTTCTTGAGTGATGTCACCCAGATGGCAGAGTAGGGGATACTAGCCTTCATACCCCCACACAAAACCAAATATAGACAGCTATTCACAAACAGAAATAGCCCAAAGAGGCTCAAGTTCACATTAAAAGATCTGAGGCAATAGAGTGGAACAAATAAACAAACAACAACAAAGGAGAATATCCACATAGAAAGTATTGTTGATGAGACTGGCATACCTGAGATACCAGGAAACAGCTAGGAGCAAAGAATAAAAATGAGACTGGCATACCTGAGATACCAGGAAACAGCTAGGAGCAAAGAATAAAAATGAGACTGGCATACCTGAGATACCAGGAAACAGCTAGGAGCAAAGAATAGAAAAGCAGATTATCACTATTAGCTACAGGGTGGGAACCACCATGGTCCCCATCAGCCTACTCCACTAAGAACACAAGGATGTCTTGCCACTCAGGTAACCAAGAGCTATTCCTACTGGGAACCCCCAAAAGGGAGATGATGGTTGCACATCCCTTTCCTGCCCAAGAAGTGGCCACTGTTGAGCTGCTTTGGGAAAGGAGTCACTGCCTCTCTCATCCCATGTGTGCTTTGATGCTAGACCATGGCTGTTCTGCAAGTGCTCACACTCCAGACCAGGGTTCTGCAGCTACACTGAATCCACTCACAGCTTAGACACTGGGACCATTGTCATATTGAGCTATTTCACCCTCTACACCCTAGAGCCAAGCCCTGATGCACCTGACCATGTCCTGGGTGCCAGCCTAGCTACTACAGAGAGCTAGACCCTGCCTTGACCCTGGAGTTGCACTAATTGTGCACACATCTATGTGCATACATTTTGACTACCTGGCTACTTCATAAGCATCTGTGCTTCAGCTACGGTTGCCAAGGCAGCAATACAGGTGCCTTAGCCTCAGGTACTGACTCAGCTGCCATAGAGAGCTAGACCTCACCCTAACCCTGGAGCCACTGTAACTTTGTTCATATATGTGCTTCCATTCTTGGCTTTCCAGGCTGCTTCACAAGCATCTGTACCTTACATTCAGTTACCAATGTGGCAGTGGAGATGCCTGTTCCCTGGTTATCAATGCCATTACTTGCTCAATCCCAGAGTCATAATTCCTCCATTCATGCCTGAGCTTCAGACCTCAGCTCTGTGGCTCTTGCAGGGGTGCCATTCATAAGACACCAGTTCCACCGTGACTGCTAGCAAGCTTATGATCCAGGCATAGTACCAAGAGGGATCCCCTGACCACAACTTCCCTGGTGAGAGAAAAAGAAATTGTGATGACCTTAGCAGCCATCACCACCAAAGACCCCAATAGCACTTGCTATCACTGCAAATATCCACATATTGGCTGCTGAGGATCCCTGCAATATTTATCAACACTGACTTCAGCTGACAGAGCTGCACAGAGACTACACAGCTGATACCCACACTGGTACCAGAACTGCTGCACTCCACCCAGCAAGTGCCCTCATACTCCCCAAAGGGGAAGGTCTCTCCATAGGAGAGCTAGCCTGTAAAGACTGCAAGTGGTTACTGCTCTATCAAATGCACAGACATCAATATAAAGCAGCAAGAAACATGAAAAACCAAAAAGATATAGCATTGCCAAAAGAACACAATAATCTCCCAGTAGTTAACCACAAAGAAATGGAGATATATGAAATGGGTGAGGAAGAATTCAAAATAGTTCTTTTAAGGAAGCTCAGTGAACTACAAGAAAATACAGAGAAACAATTCAGTGAAATTAGGGAAACAATAAATGATCAAATGAGAAATTTAACAGAGAGATTAAAGTTATTTTAAAAAAGGAACTCAAGAGCTTAAAAATACAATGAATAAAGTAAAAAAATGCAATAGAGAGCATCAGCAGCAGACTCAATCAAGCAGGAGAAATATTCTGTGAACTCAAAGGCCAGATATTTGAAGATATATAATCAGAGGAGAGAAAAGAAGATCAAAAAGAATGAAGAAAGCTTATGGGATTTATGGGATAGTATGAAAATAGCAAACATTTGAGTTTTAAAAGTTAATGAAAGAGAAGAAAAAGATAAATGGATACAGCTTAAAGAAGGAATAGGTGAAAACTTTTTAGATTTTGGGAAAGATATATATATATATGTGTCTTTCAAATGTGTATATATATGTGTATATATATGTATATATATATGTGTGTGTGTGTGTATGTATATATGTATATATACATACACACACATTTGACCTTCCTGTACCTGGAAATAGATGTATCTATATCTATATGTATATAGATATATAGGCATATCTCTTTCCTGTACCTGGAAATAAATCCTGTACCTGGAAATAGACATCTATTTATCTATATATCTATTACCAGGTACTGGAAGGTCAAATGTCTCCAGGCAGACTCAACCCCAAAAAGACTACATCAAGACATATTATATAACAAAATTGTCAAATATGAAAAGGAGAGGATCCTAAAAGCAGCAAAAGAAGAGAAAGCAAGTAACATATAAGGGACTTTCAAGATTTTTAGCAGTGGATTTTATAGGAAAAACTTAACAGATGAGGAGAGAGTGGGATGATACATTCAAAGTGCTAGGAAAAAAAAAACCCTGCTAACCAAATATACTGTGCCTGGAAAAGTTGTCCTTCAGAAATGAAAGAGAGGTAAGGGCTTTCCTAGACAAAGAAAAGCTGAAAGAATTCATTGCCAGCAGATCTGTCTTACAAGAAATGCTTAAAAAATGTTCTTCAGGCCAGGCACGGTGGCTCACGCCTGTAATCCCAGCACTTTGGGAGGCCAAGGCAGGCAGATCACAAGATCAGGAGGTTGAGACCATCCTGGCTAACATGGTGAAACGCCATCTCTACTAAAAATACAAAAAATTAGCTGGGCATGGTGGCACTCGCCTGTAATCCCAGCTACTCGGGGAGCTGAGGCAGGAGAATCGCTTGAACCTGGGAGGTGGACGTTGCAGTGAGCCAAGATTGCGCCACTGCACTGCAGCCTGGGTGACAGAGTGAGACTCCGTCTCAAAAAAAAAAAAAGTTCTTCAAGCTGGAAGAAAAGGACATTAATTGGTAATACAAAAAAAAAAAGTATAAAACTCACTGATAAAAATAAGTCAAATTCAGAATACTCTAGTACTGTATAGTGTGTAAATCACTTATATCTTTGGTGTAAAAGTTAAAAGACAAACTGTTAAAATATTAATAGCTATAATTTGTCAACGGTTACACAATATAAAACGATGTGAATTGTGATATCAAAAACATAAAATGTGTGCATGAAGATGGAGTAAAAGTGTTGTTGTTTTATGTGATCAAAGTTAAGTTGTTATCAGCTTAAAATAGCCTGTTGTAGCTATAAGATGTTTATGTAAGCTTCATGGTAACTGCAAAACAAAAACCTATAGTAGACACATCAAAGATAAAAAGTAAGGAATCAAAGTCTGTCACTAGAGAAAATCTTCTAAACTCAAAAGAAAACAGCAGAGAGGAAGAAAAATAAAAGATCTACAAAGCAACCAGAACAAATTAACAAAATAGCATTAGTAAATCTTTACCCATCAATAATTACCTTGAAGGTAAATGGATTCAATTCTGTAATCAAAAGACATAAAGTGGCTGAGTGAAAACAAAAACAAAAACAAAACAAACAAACAAAGAAACCTCAAGGTCTAACTATATGCTGCCTCCAAAAGACTCACTTCACCAGTAAGGAGACACATAGATTGTGTGAAAGTGAAAGAATGGAAAAACATATCTGATGCAATTGGAAACCAAAAGAGAGCAGAGGCCACTTTACTTACAGCCGATAAAATAGACTGTAAGTCAAAAACTAAAATGAGACAAAAATTTTGTTATATAATGGTAAAGACTTTTCAAAATCGTGCAAAAATCACAAGCATTCTTATACACTAATAACAGACAGAGGGCCAAGTCATGAGTGAACTCCCATTCACAATTGCTTCAAAGAGAATAAAATACCTAGGAATCCAACTTACAAGGGATGTGAAGGACCTCTTCAAGGAGAACTACAAACCACTTCTCAATGAAATAAAAGAGGATACAAACAAATGGAAGAACATTCCATGCTCATGGGTAGGAAGAATCAATATCGTGAAAATGGCCATACTGCCCAAGGTAATTTATAGATTCAATGCCATCCCCATCAAGCTACCAATGACTTTCTTCACAGAATTGGAAAAAACTACTTTAAAGTTCATATGGAACCAAAAAAGAGCCCGCATTGCCAAGTCAATCCTAAACCAAAAGAACAAAGCTGGAGGCATCACGCTACCTGACTTCAAACTATACTACAAAGCTACAGTAACCACAACAGCACGGTACTGGTACCAAAACAGGGATATAGACCAGTGGAACAGAAGAGAGTCCTCAGGAATAATGCTGCATATCTACAACCATCTGATCTTTGACAAACCTGACAAAAACAAGAAATGGGGAAAGGATTCCCTATTTAATAACTGATTGTGCTGCTATAAAGACACATGCACTTGTATGTTTATTGCGGCACTATTCACAATAGCAAAGACTTGGAACCAAGCCAAATGTCCAACAGTGATAGACTGGATTAAGAAAATGTGGCACACATACACCATGGAATACTATGCAGCCATAAAAAATGATGAGTTCCTGTCCTTTGTAGGGACATGGATGAAGCTGGAAACCATCATTCTCAGCAAGCTATCGCAAGGACAAAAAACCAAACACTGCATGTTCTCACTCATAGATGGGAATTGAACAATGAGAACACATGGACACAGGAAGAGGAACATCACACACTGGGGCCTGTTGTGGGGTGGGGGGAGCAGGGAGGGATAGCATTTGGAAATATACCTAATGTTAAATGACGAGTTACTGGGTGCAGCACACCAACGTGGCACATGTATACATATTTAACTAACCTGCACGTTGTGCACATGTACCCTAAAACTTAAAGTATACTAAAAAAAGAAGAAGATATAATAATTGTGTGTGTGTGTGTGTGTATATATATATATATATATATATATATGTTTCTATATATATATATGTTTCCATATATATATATATATATATGGAAACATTGGACTTGAACTACTCTGTATACCAATGGCCTGAGCAGATCATTCTGCTCAACAGCAGCAGAACACCCTTTCATATTAAGACCACAGAGAAAATTCTTCAGGATAAAAGACATCCAGATTGGAAAGAAAGAAGTTAAATTGTTTCTGCGGACCACATGATCCTATGTATAATAAACCCTAAGGACTCCCCACCAAAATTCGTAGAGCTAGTAAGTGATTACAGTAAAGTTGCAAGATACAAAATCAACACATGAGAATGAGTAGTATTTCTGTTCACTGACAACAAACTATTTGAAAAAGAAATAAAGAAAAATCCCATTTACAATAGCTACAAAAATAACATACTTAGGAATAAACTTAACTAAGCCAGTGAAGATCTGTACACTGAAAATTATAAAACATTGATGAAAAACGTTGAATGAGACACAAATAAATGGAAATATATTCAATGTTCATGGATTGGAAGAATTGCTCTTGTTAAAATGTTCATACAACCCCAAATGATCTGCAAATTCAAGGCAATCACTATCGAAAGTCAAAGATACTTTTCACAGAAATAGAAAAAAAACTTCTAAAATTTGTATTGAACTACAAAAGGCCACAAATAGCCAAAGCAATCTTTAGTAAAAAGAACAAAACCAGAGGCATCACACTAACTGATTTCAAAATGTACTACAAAGCTATAGAAATCAAAATAGCATGGTACTAGTACGAAAACAGCACATAGACCAATGGAAGAATTTAGAGAACCTGGAAATAAATCCACAAATCTATTGTTAACAGATCTTCAAAAAAGTGCCAAGAGCACACAATGGGGAAATGAGAATGTCTTCAATAAATGAATACATAGTGCTGTGAGAACTGGGTATCCACATGCAGAAGAATGAAATTGGATTCTTATCTTACAGCATCTAAAAATATCAACTAAAATTGACTAAGGAATTAAACATAAGATCTGAAACTAAAACTAGTTTTTGTTTCCACAAGAAAACAGTGGAAAAACTCCATGATGTTGGTCTGGGCAGATATTTTCTTGGATATAACCCTAAAAACACAGGCAACAAAACAAAGGATTACATAAAACTAAAAATCTTCTGCACAGCTAAGGAAATAATCAACAAATTAAAGAGAAAAACCTACAGAATGAGAGAAAATACTTGCAAACCATACATCTGTTAAGGTGTTAATATACAAAGTATATAAGGAACTCAAGTCAATAGCAAGAAAACAAATATTCAGATTAAAAAATTGACAAAGAACTCGAATAGATATTTCTCAAAAGAAGACATACAAGTGGCCAATAGATGTATGAAAAAATGCTCAGCATCACTAATAATCATGGAAATGCAAATTAAAACCACAATGAGACATCACTCACACCTGTCAGAAAGGCTACTATCAAAAAGATGAAAGATAAACAGTGTCAGCAAGAATGTGGCAAAAAGGGAACCATGCATGCTGTTGGTGGTGGGAATGTAAACTAGTACAGCCTTTCTGGAAAACAGTATTGAGGCTCCTAAAAAATTAAAAATAAAACTACTCTATGATCTAGCAATCCCACTATTGGGTATTTATCCGAAGATTATGAAATAAGTATATTAAAGAGAAATCTGCACTCTAGTGCTCACTGGAACATTATTTACAATAGCCAAGATACAGAATCAAACTTAGTGTTCATTAACTGATGAATGGGTAAAGAAAAGTATTATGTACACACAGTGGAATATTATTCAGCCTTAAAGAGAAGGAAATCCTGTCATTTGCAAAAATGTGGATGAACCTGGAAGATATTATGTTAAGTGAAATAAGCCAAGCACATAAAGATATATCCACACTAACTTATAGGTGGAATGTAAAAAAGTCAACCTCATAGAGACAGAGAGTAAAGTGGTGATTGTTTACTTGAGGCTGGTGAGAGTGGTTGGGGAGCTGTTGGTAAAAGGTCACAAAATTCCACTTAGACAGAGGGAATAATTTCAAGAAATGTATTTTACGTCATGATGACTACAGTTAATAACCATATATTGTATATTTGAAAATTGCTAAGAAGGTAAATTTTAACTGTCCTCACCAAAAAAAAGTGATAAGTATGTAAGGTGATACGTATGTTAATTATCTTGATTTAGCTACTCCACAATGTATATCTATACCAAATCACCATGTTGTATGCATTTGTAATTTGTAAAAATTACAAATATGTGTAATTTTTACTTGTCAATTAAAAACATATTTGATAAAAAGTATTTTTTCTATTTTCCTTCATTGCAGGCAGATTTTCCTTTAGATCATTGATATAATTGTTTGTTTAAACTTGCCTGAAAATTCCAATATCTAGATCATCTCAGAATTGGTCTCACTGCTACTCCCTTCCCTTGAAAATGGATCACATTTTTTTTATTCTTCCTATGTCAAATTAAATTCGATTTTTTTGAATATAATGTTTTTTGAATTTATGGTTTTTTGAATATAATGTTGTGGAGACTCTGAATTCTGTTATATTCCTTAAAAGAATGTTGATTTTTTTTAAAGGAGGCATTTAACTTAGTTCCACTATTAAGAAATTCTGGGTTAAGCAATGATTTCTTAGATATGACACCAAAAGTCTGATTCATACATAACAAAATCAATAAATTTGATTTTAACAAAATTAAAATATTTTGTCCTTCAAAAGTCAAGCCATATTAGAGAAAATATTTGCAAGTTCTATATCTAATAAAGGACTTCTATCAAAAATATATTAAAAAGGTGACAATCCAATTTAAAAAATGGATGTTATTTTATTTGTTTAGTTTTTATTTTTAATTAATTGACAAATTATAATTGTATATATTTATGGGGTATAAAATGATGTTATGTTTTATAATACAATGTGGAATATAAATATTTAAATATACATTGTAATAACAACACAAATATGATTGGCTAACAAGCACATGAAAGATGCTCGATATCGTTAGTCATTACTGAAATGCAAATTAGAACCACAGTGTGATATCATTACACACTTAATAGAAGAGTTGTAACCCAAGACTGAAAATGCCTGGGTTAGTGATGATGTGGAGCAATTGAGACCCTTATACATTGTGGTTGGAAATGGAAAACAGTTAGGCAGTTTATTAAAAAGTCAAAATGACCTTTACCATATGACCCAGCAATTTTACTCCTAGTTAGCCTCTCAGGATAAATGAAAACAGGTTCACACAAACACTTGTATGTAACTGTTTGTACAGGTTGAGCATTCATAATCCAAAAGTCTGAAGTCCAAAATGTTCCAAAATTTTAACTTTTTGAGTGTTGACATGATACTTTAAGGAAATACTAATTTAAGCATTTTAGATTTCAAATTAGGGATGCTGAACCAGTAAATAATGCAAATATTACAAAATCTGAAAAAAATCCTAAGTCCAAAATCCAAAATACTTCTGGGCCCAAGCATTTTATGATAAAGGTTACTCAGCCTGTAGCAGCATTATTCGTAAAGACCTTACACTGAAATAATCCAAATGTGTACCAATTGGTGAATGAATAAATAAAATATGGTATATACATATATTTAAATATAATTCAAAATAAAATGGAATAGACTATTGATACATGCTACATCATAAACAGACCTCACACACATTATGCTAAGTCAAAGTAGCCAGATACAAAGGACTACACCTTATATGATTTTATTTATAAGAAATGTTTAGAAATTTCAAAACTATATAAAGATAAAGGAGATTAATGTTTGCCTGGGGCTAGTGGTGGGAGTGGGGATTGATTGCAAACAAATATAAGGAAACTTTTGAGGTGATGAAACTGTTCTAAAATTGAATATTGATGATAATTCCATGGCGTATAAATTAACTAAAAATTATTAAGCTGTAAATTATGTAAATTACACCTCAATAAAATGAGATATTACTACTACCAGATTTGCTAAATTGAAAAGACTGACTCTACCAAGTGTTGGTGAAAGTACAGATCAGCTATATATCTCATTCATTGCTGTGGGAAGACAAAATGGCAGAAGGACTATAGAAAACAGTTTGGTAATTTCTTATAAAATTGAACATACACTTACATATAGCCCAGAAATTCCACTGCTAGGCATTTACTCAAGAGATATGAACATATATATCAATATAAACATTTATACTCAAATGTTCATAGCAGCTTTATTTATAATGGTCAACAGCTGTAAACAACTTATATGTGAATGGATGGAACAAATTGTGTTATATTCATATAATGAAATACTTCTTGGCAATGAAAATGAGTGAACTACTTATACAGCCAACAGCATGGATGAATCCCAAAAGCTTTACACTGAGTTAAAAAAAGCTGGACACAAAGGATTGCATACTGTATGATTCCATTTATGTGAAATTCTAGAAAAAGAAATATTGTAATAACAGAAAGCAGATCATTGGTTGCCAAGGGTCAGGGTGGGAGGAGTGAATTGATGACAAAGAGACACATGAGACAAAACTTCAGGGTGCAGGGAATGTTCTGGTTCATGATTCTCGTGATGTTTACATGTGTGTATACATTTTTTCAAAACTCATCAAAGTGTCTGTGTAACATGGAGGAGTTTTCTTGTGTATAAATCACATTAAAAGAAAAACGTTAAAAAATAAAAAATACCTTTTAAGGAGATAAATTATAAGAGCAAATTTTTAATGTTTATTAATCTTCCCTGGTTTAAAATTTGATGTAATTTTAAAAATGCCACTTTTATTAATTGTTCCCACTTTTTATTTTCTGTGAAACCTTACTAATGCCAATGACAGTTTTATCAACCTCTGTACTTTTAAGTAGAGAAGAAATATGTATATATGTATACGTGTGTGTGTGTGTGTTTGTGTAGTGTAGATTTGTGTATTTTTTTGAATTATGCTATTCAATTTTTGAAGCAGGAAAATTTAGATGCAAAATGCTTAGTTGTGTTCAAAGAAAGAAAGTGGAGACAGAAGGAATTACGGATGAATAGTATAAACAGTATAAATA
This sequence comes from Homo sapiens, assembly GCF_000001405.40. Taxonomy (NCBI): domain Eukaryota; kingdom Metazoa; phylum Chordata; class Mammalia; order Primates; family Hominidae; genus Homo; species Homo sapiens. The sequence continues at coordinate 97,523,206 of NC_000006.12, forward strand.
AAATAAGGAACCTACGAAGTGGCATATTATTTTAATAACCTATAATAATAAAAAATAAACATTTTCTCAAAAATTGCTGAAAAATTATTAATTAAATTAGGAACCAGAATATTTTGAAGTTCATAAACAATTCTAATTTGTTTAAAAATGCAAGTGATATCAATGACAGTCTTTTTTGACTAACTGGCTTGTTGAAAAGTTAATCAGATATTAAAAGCTGGGTCAAGATTTTATTTTTCTAGACATAGGACTGAGACTGATAATCATGCCAGCCATGAAGTTATTTGGCCAGTGGACTTCTAACTTTGTAGTTAGACGGATGGTGGCTGCTTTATGACCAGGTCAGTTAGTAGAACAAAAATTTACTGGGTTGTGGTACTTTAGTTATGTAGGTAGGGAAACTGCAGTGGGTTCAGCCACTTTATTTGATTCTTCTTGTGAAGTCAGAAGTTGACTGGCCTTGTGTGGAAAAATCAATAAAGCATTTATAAACCTTCATGAAAGAAAAGATTTTTGAAAGGGGGAATATGTTGGTTACATGGAGAGATGACCCTGTGTGAAGGTGGGAAGGGTTAGAGTAAGCGGATTAAGCAGTAGTGACTACAGGGAACACACGCCAGTATTTTTGATTTATGTTAGCGTTCATGTAGTGAGCACTATCTGGAGAATAGCAGTGCTTTTCAAACCCTATTGATGAAGCTCTGCACACACATGGCAGCCTTGGGAAGTTGTTGGAATGTACTGTGCTGAAGGATGGTGCTTGTGTGTAGCTGATGATCCTTTTTTTCTTACGGGATGCCTGATTTAGTCTATATAGTTTGAATGGATGATATTTGGCTCAGCCTTCTTGCTTACATATAAGGTGATCAGTTGCTTTTTCTCTTTAACATTCCTACACAGCCAAATTTATGGTTGTCTAAATTTTAGATTTGAAAGTGCAGTCCCCTTTCTCTCTTGCTCATTGCTTTCACTTCTGCATGGTTATTTTGTGTGGGTCTAGTTGTGATGGACATGTTAGATTACCAAATATATGATACGGCTCATTTATTTTACCTTTGGTTAAAATTTGTTTAATTTTTTAACTGGTCAGCATTTATACCACACTTTTAGTACCCCAAAATTTAAGGACATCAGCTTCAGTGAAAAAAGTTATTATTGGATTTAGAAACATGATACAGTATAAAGGAAGATAGATATACAGAATTTTATGACTGCATGTCTCTCTATTGATGAATGTTTAGCATAATAGAAATTGAGTACATTTTCTTAAAGTACAAACACGTTGGTATGAGACATTGCACAAGTGGATGGGCTTTTAGGCTAAATCTGCCTGTATGCTCCTCAAATCTTTCTGGTTGTATCTTATATAATTTTCACTGCCAAAGCTCCTTTTTAATTTGTAAATGTGAAATGGTTGGATCAAAGTCTTATAAGATTCAAGGATTCTAATCCAATTTGATGTAGAGCAAAACACAATTTAAAATCTAAATAATTCCCAAACTCATGAAGCTGCTTTCTGATCTACTTTCTTTTCCAATCATCACAAAGCAAGACTCCTTCTGTAATTCTCTCTTCCCAACATAGGCATCTTTTCCATGCATCTCTTTGGCAACCTTAAAAAAATTACCCTTGCTCTGGTTCATTTGATTTAGTGGTCTGGAAATTTGAAAATGAGGTTGTCTGTTAAAGGTGACCCCCTGCAGTGGCTTTGGCAGCATGAGGTATTCCGGAGCTGGAACAACAATGGCAGGAAGCCTCTTGAAAGAGCAGCAGTGCTGACATGATTGGGCAGAGCAGCAAAGGCTGATTTCCTCACACCGAAGCTCTCCTGCCCCAGGCGTCTTCCTCTGACTGTCACCCTATTAATGCACAGCAATTGCTAGGCAGTCTCCAAGTCATCACCTTCTGAAAAACAACAGATGGGTTAACTGGCTTGAGGTCACTCAATGAGTCAGGAACAGAGCTGGGGGTTAAGTCCCCGGTCTCCTCATACCCATCCTGGTACATAACCAAATATATCCACTGTAGCTCCATCAGCATTTCTAATGCTTGGGGAACAAGCTCACTAAAACAGCTCTAAATTGATTAAATCAGGTTTATACTCAGTTTCTTTTTCTTTCTTTCTTTCATTAAAAAAAAATCCTGGATTGATCATACACTAGTTACTGTACAAATCTTCAAGGAATGCCTCCTAATTATACTTCTACTTCTCTATGTTGCCTCCTGATATCAAATGATAATCTTCCCACATCTCATCACATTTTTTGTTAAAAATGTAAAATCTGAAATTAAAAGTTACAAGATGTACCCTTGGTTTTAGAAGAGGAGAATTTTTTTTTTAGATGACTGTTCTGATCCCATATGTGAGTTGCCACATTTAAATAGCAGCTACTCTTTGATTATATGTGGGGGGAACGGAAATCACATTTAATTGATATCTACACACAAGAAAGAAAAGTGACTTTAGTTTACAACTTCAAACTACTGAATTTACAACCAAGCTTTTATCTAAAGGCATTTGAAAGATAGCAAAATTAGCCACTAAGTTTAAGTACTTCCCTCCTCAGACTAACTGCCAAAATGAATCAAACGCATGGGATGGTGGGTGGGGAGGAGAACCTAGTAAAAAACAAACAAAAAAACCAACCAACCAACCAAAGAATAAAGCTGAAGTAAGGGTTTAATTAATTTTATAATCAATTTGGAAAGGTGAATAATGGACTTGTGAATGAAAGCTTCTCTCAAATAAGTGATTTGTAATTTTTAGAAAAATTGTTTGTTTTTAGACTAGGACTGTGAATGAAGTTTGAAATTCTTAATAATGTTGTTAACTCTTCACAAGCTCATACACCATTTTAAATACAATTTGGGGTATTTCCTGAACTCTCTTAAAGCCTGTTTAAGAGCCCTAGGTTAAGCAACTGTATACTTAATTAAAGCACCTAGAAAACTATCTAGAATGAAAATTTAAAAATGAAATATTTAAAAATAATATTGGACCCAATCTAAGAGTTTTTAGCTAAGCAATGTACCTCCGCTGTGATTTTTCAAGAAATATGTCATCTTCTAATTGCATAAACTACCAACTTTCACTTTTGAAATCCCCGTTTCTCTTATCCCATTATTCTTTAAAACAGAGCTTTAAAATAATTAGTATTATCATAAAATTAAGCAGAGAAAAGGACTGTGAGAAATTACTTGAAATTTGAATGTAACTCTTGATCATTAGATTAGTAGAAATCTAAACCAGTCTAAAAAGTGAAACTGCTGCTATAAATTTCCAAATTCTACAACTATTCTCAATAGTTAATATATATAGAAGAAATAAATTTTATATTAGAGGAAGGAAATTTTTTATTAGAAGAAGAAAATTTTCTTTATATCTGACTTAAATTCTGTGTACTTCAAATTAATTTTTTTTTCCTCATCACTGGAGGTGATACACAGCTGGTCAACATCTTCTATGTAATGCTGCTCATATTTTAATCAACTAAAATATGTAGATAATGGGTTGTTTTGATTGTGTATTTAGTCTTGATCAGCTTCTAAGAGATTTTGCTGTGATTTAAACTCCTTGAATTTCAGCTTACGAACCAGAGTTTCCCTGGAACAAGCAAAACATTTTAAAATAGCAATTACTCTCGTAATTGCAAATAGCTGAAAGTTCCTAGATTTTTGATGCTCTTATTCTAGGTTTGATTTTCAGTATGTTTTTTGATTGCCTCCCTCAAATTTCTTTGCATTTTCTTGTAGTTCTATATATATTTAAAGCCATGTTTATAGTTTTAAGCTCATCAGGAAAATAAAAAGGAAGTCAGTTGTTGGAAGGAATGGGAAGGAAGCAAAAGAAAAATTCTTTAATCTCTTAAGATGCCATTTCCCCTTCTAAAGAAATTTATTCAAACGAGAGCATTTTGGGGGTCACTTTATGTTTATTTTCAAATGATATATTCCTTGTGGAGTTAAAGGGGCTAAGCTTTTATCACCAAAAATAATCTTTTGTTTTTTCTTTCTCTCCACCCTACCCCTTTGCTCTTTAGAATGACTGGAAGAAGTGTTTCATGTTTTCATATTATCTCTGTTCCTAAGCCATTGATCCTATCAAGCATAATACATAATGCAAAATGTTCCTCAGTGAATAGCATTTCTTCAATATCTTAGTAGGTTCTCAGGATGGCATATGCCCTATTCAGTGTGTTCCTCTCAGTCATTTTCTGTCTCTTAATCATAACTTTATAGATTGATTTCAGGCCCTTAACTACAATTCCCCTTTCTTGAGACAGTTTGTTTTTTAATTCAAGGAGACCTTAAAAATGACTTTATCAAGATATTAATTAAAAACAGGAACTCTCAGAATCATTTTTATTTATATTCTTGTTATTTTAACATTTCATTCTCAGTTGTTGCAGCAGATGAAGCAAGATCAGTCTCACAAACAAACATGATAAACGTAATGCAACAATATTAGAAATCAATAGTGTGTGTTTTATTGTATCCTGTACCTAAAATATACAATAGGGCAACTTACATAAATCATTTATTCCCAGTCATGATTGATAACCTCATAACTCACGAGTGACGGGGCAAAGCAGAGCCCCAAATGAGTTATGAAATGTCATCAATAACAAGTGGAAACAAATGATTTATCCAGTGTCACAGCCCATTGTATGTTCAGTTTATGCAACAGCAGTTAATGATAAAAATACCCCAAATGGGTGCAGCTTGTATTTTATCCGTCCTATATGCATATACTTTTTCTATACTATTTTACACTAGGTTAGTGCTTATTGGCCATGAAGAAAATGATCAAGCTTCAAATAGGAATGTGGGTTGATGGAGAAGATATTGTCTTTATATATGTAAATCCTTTTGGAATCTCTTTACACTTGTTTAGTCCCCTGCCCACCCCACCTTTTTTTCTTTCTTCAATATCTATTCCTTTTCTAGCAAAGAAAACATAAAAAAAGAGTATCTATAGCTATGTAATTCACATTGTTTCTTTTTGGGTTGACATTCTAGGAGAGAGAAGAATTAGCATGATTTTTAAAGTTAAAGGATGTTATTTGACTTTAACACTATTTTTTTCCCCCATGTGTTTTTTTCTGAGTGCAGCTTAGGACCAGGAGTTTTATATTCCCATATTCAAATGCAGTGAGAATTTGACTATTTTTATTTTGCAGTCTCATCCTGTTGACCTCATGTATATTTGGAAGTCCTGCATGTCTCATATAGAAATCTAATTTGCAACATTAAAATATAGTTATATTTTCATTGCAAATTTAGAAATATGTTTCAATGAGGTTAAAAATATTGGTGTTTGCTGGAAGCTTACATTTGAGGTTAATTTGATGAGGTTGACATTCCAGACTCAAAACTGATATTAACTTTTTTCGGGAAAATGTCATTTAAAGAAAATGTGAGGTTTGTTCTTTTGAACTGAAATAAAAGTCTGTCCCTTATGACACCCTCTTAAATATTTATAATATTGACTCATAAGGAACTCCAGAATCTTGTTAGATACCCCTAAATCAAGTGGATTTAAGAGACTATAATATGGGTATCATGCTGTGCTAGTTGTTATGCAAAATTAAGCAGATCTTGTACCTGAAATGAACAATTATACAAAAGGTAAAGGGATGATTAAAGAGTGAGTCTTAGTAGTTATAGAAAATAAATACAGTTTATAGGCATTGTATAAAAGCAAGTGTGTCAGGCTCTACTCCTTTTTGGTTTTCCTAGAGTATAGTTCTACAATGTGTCTGCCTGCTTCTTCAGATATCCATTGTCATCATAGTAGCTTAAGCAAATATCTTTTCTCTCTTAAACTATCTACTGTGAAGCTTCCAAATTTGATTTTTATTTTCTTTTATTTCCAGCAACATATTCTGCATATAGTAGCCCTGAGTGATCTTTTAAAAATGCAACATTCCCTACTACAGATCTTCAATGTCCATGCAGTACATTTAAGGTATATTTAAACCCCTCTAAGTTGAATTATGTATCTCTATAACCTAGTTTCTGTCTGGCTTCATCATGATCCATTTTCCCTTTTACTTTAGTACATGTCTTTATTTTTTTTTTTTTCTTCATTCTCCCAAAGGGACTGAGCTCCTTACTTCCTGGGATCTTCTCCTGTACTATTACCTCTGATTGGAGTTTGTCCTCTTTTGCCTGGCTGTGCACCGCACATCGTTCAGGTCTCTCCTAAAGTGAATTTCTAAGAGAAGTCTTCCCTCAGTTGTCATCTAAATCAGGTCCTGTTGTAAGCTGGGATTATGGGCGCCCGCCACCATGCCCAGCTAATTTTTATTCTACTTTTCCTTCACAATGTCTATCACAATTTCATTGCATATTCTTCTATGCGATTATTTGTTCAATACATGTCTCCCAATCTAGGCTTTAAGCTCCGTAAAGGAAGGAACATAGATCTTATTTATTCCTTTTCCCCAGTATCTAGTACCTGGTACCTAATAAACATTTAATAAGTATTTTTTGAAAAACAGGAGACATTAAGGTTTGAAAATGATACAATAGAGAAAGTTATTCACCTCCTTTGAATAATCCCTCATTTACTAATCACATGAAGACTGCAAAACCCAATGCCATGGAGATTTACTAAAGGATATGAGATATTGTTTTGTTTTTTAATCTTGGAACACTGATACTACATATGAACACTTAAAACTAATTCAAGTATTTATTGAATAGTTATAGGAGGAGGGAAAGCATAGCTAACACTAGAAGTTTTCTTGATATTGGTGAGTTTGAGCCTTAACTTAAAAATGTGAGGAAAATATTAACAATTAGGAATGGAATGGGCATGGTTTCCTATATTGGGTTATACATACAATCATAAGGGCATAAATTAGCAAGTTTTGATGTCTTACCCGAAGGTCTGCTATTCTGGAGTGGAATATTTCTTGATTTGAAAAATCTAAAATTAAAATGCAGGTTTAATCTAAGCTGAGATGCTATAAAAATAGCAATGATAGTGATCACTTACGAGCAATTTACCTTGACACAATTGTCCAATACATTGGAATAAGAAGATGGTATAGGCCAGGTGCGGTGGCTGACGCCTGTAATCCCAGCACTTTGGGAGGCTGAGGTGTGCGGATCACGATGTCAGGAGATCGAGACCATCCTGGCTAACACGGTGAAACCCTGTCTCTACTAAAAATACAAAAAATTAGCTGGGCGTGGTGGCGGGCGCCTATAATCCCAGCTACTCAGGATGCTGAGGCAGGAGAATTGCTTGATCCCAGGAGGTGGAGGTTGCAGTGGGCCAGGATTGCACCACTGCACTCCACACTCCAGCCTGGTGACAGAGTGAGACGCTGTCTCAAAAAAAAAAAAAAAAAAAAAAGGTGGTATAGATACTCCCTGTTGATTTTATTTCCTTGTATCCTGAAAATGGTTACTAATAATAATTGTGATAGATGCAATCGTATACTCTATCAATAAGAGTATAGAAATCAGGGAGATTAATTCTTTGGTCTGTGAGTTAGACTTCACCTAGAGTTCTAATTTAGTCCTACTGCAAGATTACTAAATCATAATCTATGTGAATGGGACCGAGAAATTTATGTTTAAAAAGCAAACTCCTAGACCAGCATTTGGGAAACACAGAACCAAAGCATATCCAAGAACAAATGGGATGGTAAAAGGGCATAAAATTATATCTTAGCAGGAAGGAGTTATAATTCTATTTTAGCATATAAATCTGGAAAAGACATTATAATTGTCATTCCATATTTAAAATCTTGTCAGATAAAATAATATGACTTGATCACTGTCATTCAGAGGGTAAAATCTGGATCAATGGGTAGGAGATTCAGGTGTTATGATTTGGCATCAGCATGAAATTTTACAAATTTTTGGTGTTGTTCGCAGAACGGGTCATATTGGTAATTTCCGAGATCTCTATTACTGGAGATATTTAACTAAAAAATAGGTAACCTCTAAGGGAAGGGCATGTGTCAGACTTCTACAACATTCTTTCTTCCCAAAGGGGGAAGTGGTTGAGTAGATATCAGAGTTTTCAATCATGCGAATGACAGAATATATTTTTAAAAAAATTTTCTCTGTCTTGGCATGTATAATATAGTTAGAAACATGCATATCCTACCTATTTGGTCCTAGAAATTTCCGCCATTAATTACTCTTCCATTTCAAGGGATCGAAGGTTGCCAATCAAATGAAGATATTTTGTGGGAAGATAATATCATAAGCCATTTTCAATTGCCACCTTCAACAGAGATTGCTGAAGGAATATTATGAAGAAAAGCTAATTTGTGAAGGTGATAATGAGAATGGATGGATTTAGAATATGAGCTCTGTCAAGCCAGCATAGGGCTGCCAGAATGGTATCCCGGGTTTGTAGAGGGTGGGGAGTAGGATTAGGGCTCTGAGAACTTCAGAAAGGGCAATATCTTGCGCGACAGGGGAATGGAAAAATACTGAAAGCTAAATTCCTAGGAGTTATTATTTTATTTGGAGTTATTCCTGATCTTTTCTTCATCCATACTCAGTTATTATGGAACTATTTTTATTTCTATGTCTCTTACTCAGACCTCTCTTGTTGAATTCCTTTGAAATGATCCCCTAATTTCACAATAATTGGTGATGAAATTAGGTGATTTCCTTTTGTATTGGGTTGGGAGCTACTGGTGTCCACACAGGTAATAGGATATTTGTATATCAGGACCCAAATATGGGTTTTCCAGACTTTACCTATTAAGCCTGTGATATATTATGAATGTTTGAGATTAGGTGGCTGTTCCTAGGATGTGGACATTTGAGTTAATTATATCTTTCCTGTGGTTGGGCAACTCTGTGTGATGACAGCCTACCAGGGGGAAAAAAGATAATTTCTTGTGAGATCCAGAGAGACACCTTAGGTCTAAACCAATACACAGAGTTTCTAGTCAGAGCAAGAACCTGCCATTGTCTGTTTTCATCTCTCTTCTCTCCACCCAGACTATTCATGTGTAATCTCTATCTTTTAAAGTTATACCTTAGCTTTAATTTTGTTCTTATTTCACCCAAATAAGAGTGTTTGAGGGATAGAAGGAAGAAGAAAGAGAACATACAATGAAATTCTCCATTTTATCCTAGACATGGCTCTGGAGACTGGCTCTTGTACATTAAAGTGATTTAGTGATTGATTGATTTATGACTTTTTTTTTTTTTTTTTTTTTTTTGTGTGAGATGAAGTCTCTGTCTGTTGCCCAGGCTGGAGTGCAGTGGCTCGATCTTGGCTCACTGCAGCAACCTCTGCCTCCCAGGTTCAAGTGATTCTCCTGCCTCAGCCTCCTGAGTAGCTGGGAGTACAGGCATGTGCCCCCATACCCGGCTAATTTTTGTATTTTTGCAGAGATGGGGTTTTGCCATGTTGGCCAGGCTGATCTCAAACTCCTGACCTCAGGTGATCGAGTTTTAAAAGGTTAATTTGATGTGTACTTAGACTTGAGAATGGTTTTCCTAAGTCAAGGATTCAGGGCTGGCTTAGTTAGGTGGTTCTGGTTCAGGGTTTCTCCTGAGATTATAGTCAGGACAGCAGGATCTGTAATCTTGACTGGTACTGGAAAGTCCACTTCCATGATTCAGGCTCACTTACATGGCTGTTGATAGGAAGCCTCAGTTTCTTATTACATGGGCCTCTCCATTGGCTGTTTGGTTTCCTCATGACATGGCAGCTGGCTCCCTCAGGGCAAGTGATCCAAGAGAAAGAAGAAGGCAGAAGCCACAATGTCCTTTATAACCTAACCTTGGATGTGACATTCCACTTGTCATGCAGACGAATCTTGACACAGTGTGGAAGGGTGCTATGCAAAGATGTAAATACCAGGAGGCAGGGGTCACTGGAGACCCTCTTGGAGGATTGTTACCACACATATCATGACTCATATCAATTCTCACCCCATGAATCAGAAAATAATCGATGGGACTTTTCCATCTGTCAAGGATGTCTATTTTCACTATATACCCAGGAAATGGAGAAATAACTACAGGATTAATTTGAAGACACACTGAACTGACTGAGTGCTGGACTTGGGCCAAAATTTCATTTATCATATGAGTACCATGAGCTTAATCTCTGACTAGTGGATCACGGTGGGTTCCCAAGGATTAATTTTAGCCCAGACCCAGTGTTGAAAATCTTCAAAAGTTCTGTGTCTTTCTCTTTCCTCAATGCATTGTCACTGCAGTAAATAGCTACGGATTGTTTGGGGAAGACTGGAAGGTGATCTTTGTAGGTCTTCCACATCTGTACCTGGCTTGTATGAGGCTGTGATTTTCTACTAGGGTGACTGAAGTCAGGCCTTTTTTCACTCTATTTATAAGTTTTCATTATGTGGATCAAATTAGGCTGCCCATTTATTTTAGTTAAAAGTGTTATGAGAAAAGCTTGGGACTGTAATGTCCCCTTCACACTGGGAAGGAACCAAGAGACTAAAGAATGACTTGAACAAGTCAAGTTTGATAAATAGATGAGTTTATTAAGACTTACAGAAAGGGTACTCCTGGATGGCAGCAGGACGGCTTTAGAGATCTGCCCTCACTCCCATCTCCAAACTGCTTTTAAACTAATTTTTTCGCCCCTTGCCTACCGTGTTTAACTGATGAGACTGTTTTTCTTGGTAGGTTCTCAGATACTCTCTGGGATGTTTAGGTTCTCAGGGCACCTTCTCCTTGGCTGGGCACCATGGCCTTGGCTCACTGCCCAGCCTTCAGTGTTGAGACATGCACCCTTAAGAAACATGGTGGGGAACCTGTAACACTACCGTAAGGAGCCTCTGATTAATTAGTTATTGTCAAAGTTCATTCTGATGATTCCTTTAGCTATAATACCTATTATGGTAACATTATTCTCCTTAGCTCTTATAGTTAAGTCTCTGCCACATTTGGATCTCATCATTCTCACTCAAATCAAGGACTCCATTTTGATGGCAACATATGCCACTTTCCTTCCTGACTTCAGAGGATAGCTATGACTATACTTTCTGAGGATGTTGTTCCTCAGGGGGAACTGTTCTGAGGATAAGGTGTTCCTTGTACAATTCATTTGTCAAGGTCTTTGTGAAGGGAATGTGCTTTGGGCCTGGGAGATGTGGCATGTGATAGGTTCACTTCAACATTTCAATTTCCCTAAGTCTTACATTCTCTCTTATGTATAATGCTATACAAAGATGTTTCCAACATCCTCACTAAATGATTTTAGGACTAAATGAGTTTAGGTTTCAGGTAATTAACTGACTACATGATGAAATTTGATACAGGTCTGGAAGAAAATAGGGTGTGGAAGGAGAAGAATTGGCATGTTTTTACAAGGTAATAGCCTCAAATGGGGACATTATCAGGTCTTCATACAAGGTAGAACCAGCCTCATCAGTCAGGCAGAGGATCTCTGTTGACTGGAGAGGTTTGGTAGGATTTGGGGGTGCTATGTACTCAAAAATATGAATGTTCCCAATTGTCACCTTTAAATTCTCAAGGTCCTACTCCTTCCTTGGGAATTTAAGGAAAATTCTTAAACTTTCCTTAAGAATTTAGGAAATTCTTTCCTAATCAAGTTTTTAATTTTCACATAAGAAACATAAGATTTTGTTGTAATTCAGCAACTAAAGGATCAGATTCTTCTTTTAGTTTTTAGTGAATCAGCTCTGTGACAGTAAAGATAAGACATTCTTTTAAGGCAGTCAGAGAAACTCCCTGTTCTTAGATTTTGGCTTAAAAAAAGAATTCATGTTATTTTTCTTCTTGTAATTCTCCGATGCAGTTATAAGTCACTAATCTACCTGATTGTCCTTGCATCCTTTTGCTCATCATACTATGTTTTGGAAACCACCTCATATTTCATTAAAGTTGTATGTTCAGTGGGCACTTCATTCCAGGTGACCATAGGTGGTAATTGAAGTATCTGCTTCTCTATTGGAGGCCATGTTCTACTGATATTCAACCCTTTCTGGAAATCAAATCCTTACTTTTTAAAGCAAACTCAAATGCTCACCTTTGAGCATTGCATCTACAATTATTTCTGATAAGAAATTCTGTATTAGTCAAGGGTTCATTTGCTGATAGCAGAAAACACTTCAGCTATTTTAAGCAAAAAGATATTAAATGCAAGGAGTTAGCTGCTTATGAAATGTTGGAATTCTAGGAGGATTCGGAGCTATACTGGGCCTCCAGGGAGACTCACAGAAGAGTGGCAGAACAGTTCTGCCAGGAAAATCACAGACTCTACTACAATTAAGAGGCTGGGGAATCAACAATCTACCACTAGAACTCTAGACTCCAGAGTCATACCACATCTACTAGTTCTGACCCAGAAAAAATGAATGATTTGTGCATCACAACTTCCCCCCAACTTAGATTAGTACTGAATTCAAGTATCATGCAAATGCGTATAATTGTTAATACCTAAACTATATCTGGAATTCTAGATACAAGGAAATTTAGAACATGTAGTTTCAGCTCTCCAGCCTCTGTAATGAAAAATTTATGTGAAGTACTTATCACAATTATTATGCATTCATAGTAAAATTTCAAAAAATGTTATTTTTATTGTTACTGAGAGAGTATATCATATGTTATTTGAGTGCACTAGACTATTTGGGGTGGACTCACACTTAGCATTCTCCCTATTTATGGTCCTCGCTGGCAGAGATTTTATTTTCATTTGCCTGTTGGCAGGTGTCTTCAGATTTTTGCATCTAGTGCATTTACCTTATGTAATTTTTATGTAGCTTTCCATAGTGAACAGTTGAACAAGAACTAAAGTTCTTACTTCATGGGTTCTTGTAACAAATTGCGTAATTCTTGCACCTCTTCCATTTGTTAAACCTATTTTAGTATTCTGCAGATAACTGGAAGACCATAAGAATATAATGAACAAGAAAAATGCTTTGTGCTTTGAAGTGCTAAGAAGAAGATGCTTATAATATATTCAAAGTATCTTATGTTTGATATTTGTCTCTGGTCAGTCACAACCTTTAGGTACTGCTTGGTTTCATAAAGATTCCCTTGTTTACTATTATTATTAAAGTATGTGAGAGAGCAAACAGTGTCAGGATTCAGAGATACTTAGCTAAGTAATAATGAAAATTCAAATATTGATTGTAAATGCTAAATCCAAACCATAACTCTTATATAGTGGCATAAATATTGACAAAGCTGTACAGATGTGAAAGAAAAAGTAGTTCTAAAAATGTTGACATTTTATAGAAGATTAGGACTGGAAGAGATCTTAAACATCATCTAGTCTAAACTTTTTATTTTGGATACTGAGAACAGAGCTGAAGTAAATTGTCTGGAGTTATAAAGTTGGTTAATTGTCAAGCCAAAAATAGAACTCAGTCTCCTTTGCAGCTGAGTCCAGTCCAGAGTTCTAGCTACTGTAAAAACACTTTTTCCTTTTAATATTCTTAGTATTAATTACCTAGCTGCTCTTTGTCCCCTATTTCTTTCAAAGTACTAAGGAAATAAAAAATGTTCAAATTAATGTCAGTATTAACACATTTCTGATTTTTTTCTGCTATTTAAAATGATGATCTTCGAAAAAAACTTGTACATGTTTGCAGGGGAGTTTGCCCTCCAGTAGTGGTGTATCAACACTTTCTTTTCTAGAGAATTTTTTTTATCGCCCAATAACTCCTTTTTCATGTTCATTGGATTGGAGCAGTGGTGGCATTCGGTGATTAATTAGTTCAAAAAGTGTTAGTTCTCCAAGGATAGCCTGTTAAATACTTTCCAGGCCATTTAAAAAAGAGAAATCTATTGCTCATGTTTACAGGTGGTGGCACACTGAATCTAGATTGGTTATAAGGCACACAATGAATCTGCTACATCTGCAAGTCTCGTTGCTACTCTTGTCTTACAGTAATCCCCAGCAACAATTCAAATTAACATTTGACAACAGAGATATGAACACGTCCCTGTTTGATTCTATATTATGTTAAACATTCTTTGCACTTTCTTTTTAGATTCTTGTGCTAGCCTCTATTTGGTCCAAAAATGTTTTAGCTTAAATTTTCTAGAGAATTATTTTGTTTTTTGGAATCCTGAATAATTTTTTTGAGTTAATCAGGTGAATTACTGGTTGGCACTAGTCCTGTGTAGGACTGTGGACACCATTAGATCAAAGTCACCCTTCAATTTAATCCCTAAAGGTTTTCCCCATAATGTTGGCACTGACTTACATAATAAAGTGTCAATTGTCCTTTAAAGTATTATTATGCTCTGTTTCACATTTGAAAATTACTACTTCATCTTGGTAGTGAAATGATAGTGTAAATACAGCCAATGATGCTAAGAGATTCTTGACAGAAACCTTGATGGAAAGACAGGGAACACTTTATGTGAATGTATTCAGAGTCCTGGGTGAAGGTATTATCTGATAACATTTTATAAAAGATTTGGCCTTTTCTAGGTTTTAGAGCCATTAAAATCTAGGGGCAAAATTTTACTGCCTGAATTTAGCAGGAGCAAGTGTTTGTTCTGGTTATTAAGATACATTATTACAGGTGCTCAGAGTCCTACCTTGTAAGGTACAGTGGTTGAGGCAACACATTTTCCTTAAGCATTTGCCATATTCTAGTGTCGTACAGGGTGCTCTAGGGAACCAAGAGAAGCAGAAATGGACAAGGCCATGGGCATCTGCCAGGGAAAGGCAAACACTGGACTCTCTTCATTTAACCGCTTATTAACCATTTTTCCCCCGCTACAAGGAAGAGTGAATTTGAAGCATTGAACTGTAAGATACACCTCAAACAATTATGGATGCTAATGTTCTGGTTCTCAAAGAGCTGAGAATATGGTTATCAATGAAAGTAAAATTAGACCTTTTTTTTCTTTTTGTTACTATCTAAAAGAGCTCTCATGGTTGGAATGTCACCTTTAATGCTTTCCTGTGTCTATTATGCATTTATTGAGCGTCTTTAATTACAATCTTGAAATTGTCAAGTAAATAAAGACTGCCAATATTAATTTTTAAATGTATCACTGTTTCTAAACCTGTGAGGATTTTATTTTCCCTCTTGTTTAGAAAACAAAGACAATAGCTCATTGTTTTAATTTGGTTTTATTTTTCCATTTTAACTCTGATCCATTGTTGTAAATACAAAGGAAATTAATTTCATAAAAAATTCACTCGTGCTGAAAAATGAACAGAAATACATTGAAAATGTCCTTTTGTTTTATTTTTAATCTAGATTTGTGTTCTTGATAGTTAATGCTTGCATTTTCAAGTTGAAAATGTTTACATAATTTGTCTAAAAAATACATTTTTCCCTTCATTACTCATAGTCATAATCACTACCATAAGCTATTTGAAAAATCATCAATCTGCATTCAGCTCTGCGCTGTGAACTTAAACTGTTTATTTACTGACTTGTATAGTAATACTGTCTTTTCTCCCAGAAGAAAACTGTCTCATACTATAGAAATATAACGAATTAACCACCCTACAAACCCCCTGTGAGGTAGAATATTTTATCTGACCCATCCCTTGTTTCTATTCTCTGCTTTTAGTAGAGATGGCCAGTTTTCACTAGAAGGCTGAGCAAACTCTCCAATAGTTGGCAGGTTCAGTTCTCAGTTCCAAGCTGTGGCTATCCTTCTGCTCCATTTTTGACAGTCTCACTCAGGGGACGTCAGTTAAAACCTGTAATCTGCCAAGGCCATTAAGTCATGTGGGAAAAATATATTTTTGTTCTTGGAATAGCAAAGACAAACAAACAAACACTTCTAAAACTTCTAGCTTTATACCAGCCTGGGCACTATGATAGATATTTAACTGACTGTGGCTAAGGTTTGTGCTCTTAGGGCGGCACCTTGTGCCAGGATAAATGGCAAATGAGTTCTTTGTGAGTCCTTCTTATAAATATACTCAAAATCTGACAGCTGTATATATAATTCTAGTTGTAAGAAGAGAGAGAGCATGACATGGGAAAGAACTGTCAATTCAGTCAAGGTACTCAGGTTCCTGGTAGTCAGTAAGTTGGGTAGTCTTGGGGTAAATCATTGTCCTCTCTGAGGCTTCACTTCTTCATCTATCAAATGAGAAATTCTAACTAGTTAAACTCTAAGGTTTTTGTTGTTGATGTTGTTATGTTTTAAATATTAAGTGTTAAAACTTTTAGAATGGAGAAAAAAACACAATTCTAAGGGTTAAGGGTCATATACATTAGATTGTGTATGACTTTTTGTATTTTTGTTCATAAAAAGCTAATGTTTTATTATCTTTTTTATTTGTAGGTGAATTGTGCTTTAGTAGCATATCTTTAGGTTTTCTATTTCTCTTTCATAGTATTCTCTACTTCTTTGGAACCCAAAGAAGTGTTTTGAGCTATACTGATTCCTGTATTGAAGAAGGTGTAACCCCCTCTCCATCTTTATCCAATACCAATATAGGACAGTAACAACTAGGTAGAAGCATTAGGGTTAACTTCCTGGATATAGTGCCAGAATTGACTAGGATAAACATACAGTTTGTCATCCAAACTGACACACTTTAAAAAGTGAAACAGAACACTCATTAATTATGACCAGCACTGTTAATCAGGACTATTAAGGGAGAATAAAAGGGCTGCAAAGGGGATGATTTTAATGTAATCCATATAGCTTTGCATGATACCCTCCTTTATTTATTCTGTAGCTTTCTTGAGGCAGAGAGAGAAATGATTTAGATTTGCATAAGGGTAAATTTTTGATTCAAATAGGCAAATCGTAGGTTTTGCTTTTCATATGTAAAATGGAATAAATTGCCGAATAGGAAGGCTCAAATTCAGCCAGAAATTCTGAAAAAGACAATTATACATAATCCAACAAACCCACTGAAATATGCAGTTCAGTACCTCATCTTGCTTACCTCTCCATGAAAGGTCAAAAGTGCCTCCTACTGTGATATGTCTGAAATCCCTGAAAGATTGATTAAATTTCTATATAATATGGAATTGCTGAATCTAGTGAACCATAACTTATGTAATTTGTATTATACTTTATCAGTCACCTTTTAAAAAGTGTTTAACAGTGAAACTTTCCCTTGCAGGCGATGGAAACCTGAGAAATACTTGCTTTCTTTATGATAACCTTAGCAGTTTGTTTGACTCATTAAGTCAAGGTTGGTGTGGATTTCTTAAAGGGATTCAAATGTAAAAACTGACTTAATTTTGGCATTTAAATTTTAGAATGAAAAGTCAGAGAATAAAAAAGATGGATCTTATATTGCATGAGAAACATAATCTTTTCATATATTATGAAAGAGTGGCCAAAGAGGTGTTTGAAAACTTCACTTACTCTTACTTTAAAGGGTATCATATTGATGTTACATTATAGAAACATGTCTACTTTTGGAAGATTCTATTGTATCCTGAGTTCCTCTTATATAAGACCTATATCTGCAGCAGGACAGTTAGAAAAGTCAGAGAATAAGAGTTTAGAGGTGAAGTATATTACAGTTTTGACAATGCGGATAATTTTCTCTTTCTCCTCCTCTATTCCTCACCCCTGTCACCTTCCCCATAGTTCCTAATTCTCAACTCATTTCAAAGTTTGACGGAAAGTGATCAAGAAGCATAAGATCTTCAGATAAGTCTAGAAGATAGAGCACCCTATATGTCCACTGAAGGATCTTGGGCAAGGTAGGATGATCCTTATCTCATCAAGCAGCAGAATTAAAAGCTATAGAGCTTCTCCCAGAGACTCCTGGGATGAAAATCTCCAGTAAAAGATACTCCTGATAACACTAGGGGAAAAGAACAGTAACACTGATCACTGGGAATAAAATCAGATTCTTTAACATGGTCTTCAAAGTCCTGCTTTATCTACCTCCCCCACCCCTGCCCTCCCCTCACATAATTTTCTATTTCCCCCTTCTTTACCACTCTAGATGTCTTTATATTTCTTGTGTTTGCCATGCTTCCTTTAGCCCCAAGCCTTTTAAAGATTCTAAATCTAAATCCTTTGTATCTGATTTCCATACCTCCAACACCTTTCCTCTGGTTAAATTCAATTTATTCCTCAGATTTCAGTTCAAATATCCCTTTCCCAAGAAAGCCTTCTCTGACTAGGTCAACTCTATCTTCTATGTTTGTATTAGTTTTGTATTGCTGCAAAACCAATGATCATAAATTTAGCTGCTTAGGAGAACACAAGTTTATTATCTCATAGTTTCCTTGGGTTAAGAGCCTGCACATGGCTTAGCTAGATTTTCTGCTCAGATCTTACAAGGCTGAAATCAGGGTTTGGCTTGGCTGCTTTTCTCATTTAGGCTCAGGGCTCTTTTCCATGCTCACTGATAGTTGGTAGAATTAAATTCCCTGAGGTTGTATGACTACAACCTGGTCCCCTGTTTCTTGCTGGCTGTTGGCCAGTGACTGTTCTCAGCAGCTAGAGGCTGTGTATAGCTCTTTGCCACATGACACCATAGGGAGACCATAAGATGGCTGTTAACTTTTTTCCAGGCCAGCAGGAGTGCATCTTTCTGATGCTCCACCTTCTTTTATATTTTACTTTTACATTTATTGTTAATTTAAATTTTTTAATTTTTAATTTTCCTGGGTATATAGTAGGTATATATATTTATGGGTTACATGAAATAATTTGATACTGACATACAATGTCTTTAGGATAAAGCCATTTTAACTGGGATGAGATGATATCCCATTGTAGTTTTGATCTGCATTTCTCTGATGATTGATTATACTGAGAACCTTCTCAAATGCCTTTTTTTTTTTTGCCATTTGTATGTCCTCTTTTGAGAAATATCTACTCAGATCTGTTGCCAATTTTTAACTGGATTATTAGATTTTTTCCTATAGAATTGGTTGAGCTCCTTATATATTTGGGTTATGAATCCCTTGTCAGATGGGAAGTTTGCAAATACTTTCCCCCATTCTGTGGGTTTCTGTTTTGATTCCTTTGCTATGCAGAAGCTTTTTTTTTTTTTTCTTTTTTTTGAAATGGAGTCTCACTCTGTCACCCAGGCTGGAGTGCAGTGGCGCGATCTTGGCTCACTGCAACCTCTGCCTCCCGGGTTCAAGCGATTCTCCTGCCTCAGCCTCCTGAGTAGCCGGGACTACAGGCACAAGACACCACAACCGGCTAATTTTTGTATTTTTAGTAGAGGCGGAGTTTCACCATGTTGGTCAGGATGGTCTTGATCTCCTGACCTCAAGATCCACCCGCCTTGGCCTCCCAAAGTGCTTGGATTACAGGCGTAAGCTTTTTAACGTGATGTGATCCCGTTTGTTCATTTTGCTTTGGTTGCCTGTGCTTGTGTGTCATTACTCAAAAAAGTCTTTGCCCACTCCAATGTCCTGCAGAATTTCCCCAATGTTTTCTTTTAGTAGTTTCATAGTTTGAGGTCCTAAATTTAAGTTTTTAATATTTTTTGATTTCACTTTTTTTGTAT
Source organism: Homo sapiens (assembly GCF_000001405.40). Lineage (NCBI taxonomy): Eukaryota > Metazoa > Chordata > Mammalia > Primates > Hominidae > Homo > Homo sapiens. Next base: position 97,542,620 of record NC_000006.12, read on the forward strand.
ATGGTGAGAGATAATGGTGTAGTCTTCTTATTTTGCAAAGGGATATCCAGTTTTCCCAGCACCATTTATGGAAAAGACTGTCCTTTCTCTAATGTATATTCTTGCCACCTTTGTTGAAAATGAGTTCACTGTAGACGTATGAATTATTTCTGGTTTCTCTATTCTGTTCCATTGGTCTATGTGTCTGTTTTTACGCCAGTTTCATGAGATTTTTGGTTACTATAGCTCTGTAATATAATTTGAAGTCAGTTTTGTTCTTTTTGCTTAGGATAGCTTTAAGTATTCTGGATCTTGCATGCTTCCATATAAATTTTAGGATTGTTTTTTCTATTTCTGTGAAGAATGTCATTGATATTTTGATAGGGATTGGATGAAATATGCAGATTTTTGGGTCATATGGACATTTTCACAGTATTGATTTTCTAGTCCATGGACAAGGAATATCTTTCCACTTTTTGCATCTTTTTCAATTTCTTGCATCCATGTTTTATAGCTTTCATTGCAGAGATCTTTCTCTTCTTTGGTTAGTTTCTAGGTATTTAATTTTATTAGTAGCTATTATAAATAGGATTACTATCTTGATTTCTTTTTCAAGTTGCTTTTGGCATATACAAATGCTATTGATTTTTGTATCCTGCAACTTTACTATATTTGTTTATCTTTTCTAACAGTTTTTGGTGGAGTTAGATTTTTTTCGAGTGTAAGATCCTGTAATCTGCAAATAAGGATAGTTTGACTTCTTCCTTTCCAATTTGGAGGCCATTAATATCTTTCTCTTGTCTGATTGTTCTTGCTAGAACTTCCAGTACTATATTGAATAACAGTAGTGCAAGTGGGCATCCTTGCTGTGTTCCAGATCTTAGAGGGAAGGCTTTCAGTTTTTTCCCATTCAGTATGATACTAGCTGTGGGTCTGTCACATATGGCTTTTATTATGTTGAGGTATGTTCCATCTATACCCAGTTTTTTGAGGGTTTTTATTATGAAGAGATATTAAATTTTATAAAATGCTCTTTTAGTATCAATTGAAATGATTATATTGTTTTTGTCTTTCATTCTGTTGATATGATGAATCACACTGTTGAAGTTGCATGTGTTGAACTATCCCTGCATTCCTGAGATAAATCCCACTTGGTCATGATGAATGATCTTTTTAATGTATTGTTGAATTCAGTTTGCTAGTATTTTGTTGAGAATTTTGGCATCAGTGTTCACTGGAGATATTGACCTATAGTTTTCTTTCGCTTGCGTCTTTGTCTGGTTTTGGCATCAGTGTAATAGTGGCCTCATAGAATGAGTTTGGAAGTATTTTTTCCTCCTCTATTTTCCGTATAGTTTGAGCAGAATTGATATTAGTTCTTTAAATGTTTGACAGAATTCAGCAGTGAAACTATCTGGTCCTGGGCTTTCCTTGCTGGGAGACTTTTTATTATGGCTTTGATCTCGTTACTGGTTATTGGTTTGCTCAGGTTTTGCATTTCTTCATGGGTCAATCTTGGTAGGTTATATGTGCCTAGGAATTTGCCCACTTCTCCCAGATTTTTCAACTTATTGGCATATATTTGCTCATAGTGGCCACTAATGATCCTTTGAATTTCTGCAGTATCCATTACAATGTGTTCTTTTTTATCTCTGATTTTATTTATTTGGATCTTCCCTTTTTTTTCTTAGTCAGCTGAAGTTTTGTCAATTTTGTTTAACTTTTCAAAACACAACTTTTTCTCATTAATCGTTTTGTATTGTTTTCTTCATTTCAAATTTGTCTATGCTCTGATCTTTAGTATTTCTTTTCTTCTACTAATTTTGGGTTTGTTTTGCTTTTCTGGTTATTTGAGATTCATTGTTAAAGTGGTTATTGGAAGTTTTTCTTCTTTTTTGATGTAGGCAGTTAGAGATATAAGCTTCCCTCTTAGTACTTCTTTTGCTGTATCCCATAGGTTTTGGTATGTTGTGTTTCCATTATCATTTGTTTCAAGAAACTTTTCAATTTCCTTTGAAATTTCTTCATTGACTCACTGGTCATTCAGAAGCATACTGTTTGATTTCCACATGTTGTTATAGTTTCCACAATTCCTCTTGTTATTGATTTCTAATTTTATTCCTTTGTGGTCAAAGAAGATGCTTGATATTATTTCATTGTTTTGAATGTTTTTAGACTTATTTTGTGATCTAACATATGGTATATCCTTGAGAATGATCCATGTGCTAAGGAAAAGAGAGTGTATTCTGAAGCCATTGGATAAAATGTTCTGTAAATATCTATTTGGTCCATTTGATCTATAGTGCAGATTAAGTTTTATGTTTGTCTATTTTGTGCCTGGAAGATCTGTCCAATGCTGAAAATGGGATGTTAAAGTCTCCAGCTACTGTTTTATTGGGATCTATCTCTCTTTTTAGCTCTAATCATAATTTCTTTATACGTGTGTGTGCTCCAGTGTTGGGTGTATACATATTTAAAATTATTGTATTCTCTTTCTGAATTGATCCCTTTGTCATTATATAGTGTCCTTTGTTTTGAAATCTATTTTGTCTGATGTAAATATAGCTACTCCTGCTTTCTTTGGTTTTCATTAGCATGGGATTTTTTTTTCATCCCTTTATTTCTAGTCTATGTGTTTCTTTGTAGGTGAAGTGTGTTTCTTGTAAGCAAGATCTCATGACCACTGCCACTATAGGCCCACAGGGAGTGCTGCCAGGCTACCACTGATGTTACCTTAAGGCCCAAGGGCTCTTCAGTCAGCTTGGTGAATGCTGCCTGTCCTGGGATTCATCACTGAGGGCATAGGTTTAATGGGCTTACTGTTCCACATGGCTGGGGAAGCCTCACAATCATGGCAGAAGGTGAAGGAGGAGCAACAGCACATCTTACATGGCGGCAGGCAAGAGAGTATGTTCAGGGGACCTGCCCTTCATAAAACCATCAGATCTCATGAGACTTACTCACTATCATGAGAACAGCATGGGAAAAACCTGTCATCATGATTCAATTACCTCCCACCAGGTCCCTCCCAGGATACATGGGGACTGTGAGAGCTATTATACAATTCAAGATGAAATTTGGGTGGGGACATAGCCAAACCATATCACTTCTGGTGCAGATTGTGTCTAGAAATGTCATCCAGGAGTTATGGCCTGAAAAGAGTGCCTAATGACTCTGACTGGTGCCCTATCCTGCTGTGGCTAAGCTGGCATGTAAGATGCAAGGCAAAGTCCTCCCCACTCTCCCCTCTCCTCTCCTCTCCTCAAGTGGAAGATGGGGTCTCTCTGAAAGCTGTGAGCTATGCAGCCTCAGGTTAGGGGAGGTATGTCACCAGCACTCTGTTAGCTACCCTGGCTAGTGTTTCAGTAGGTTGCTGCTCTCACAGTCCACAGTCGTGGAGCCCAGTTCAACAGGCACTAGGACTCTCCTAGAAAGTGCAGTCCTTGTGGCCTAGACTGCTCTTCAAGTTTATTTAGAGCCCCAGTGCACTTTAGCCTGTGCAGTCATGATGCTTGCAGGAACTGAAGTTCAAGCTACTGGGATGGGCAATTCCCCTTTGGCCAAGGCCGGGCTAAATGTTCTCTCTTGCATGGATGTTAGCTGAGTTCTTTCTAGTTTTGCTTTCTGCTATAACAGGGCAACATTGAGTTTAATGCAATGTCTCAGAATTGCCGTGCTCTCCCTTTCCCAAGTGCTCAGATTTTTCTCTCTGTACCACACTGTCACTGCTGGGGATGAGAGAGGATGTGGCGTCGGAGATTCAAGACTTTTTCCTACCTCTTCAGTGCCTCTTTCAGGTGAGTGCTCACCAGATTTTTGATTCTTATGAAGGTGCTTTTTTGTGTTTAGATAGTTGTTAAATTGGTGTTTGTGGGTGGGTGAGGGTGACGATTGTTGGAGCCTTTTATTCTCCCATCTTGTTCCATCTCCCTACTTCACCGTCTTTGAAAAGCTCCTCTGATTGGGTGAGGTCCATCCAGGTACACCTAGGATAATCTCTCTTTTGATGAACCCAAAGCCAACTGATGAGTAACCTAATCATAGGAGAGATACCTTATTTCATTTACACGTGTTGCCCATGCTCAAGGATAGGGGATTATACAGGATATATACACCAGGGGGTAGAAATCTTGGGGACCATTGTGGACCCTGGCCCATGTCAATGCTCTCTTATGCCGTATGCCTCCTCTCTTTTACGACAAAATACAGTTCAATTGCATATTCATTTCTGTGATTCATTGATTAACATCAACCTTCCCAACTGGCATATGAGCTTAAGGAGAAAAAGGGAATACTGTTTTCAGGGATTGTCTTTGCTCACTAGCATATCTTTGGACATTAGCACAATGTTCAGGATAGTATAGTGGCTCAGCAAATATTTAAATAGATTAGGATGGCCGGGCACAGTGGCTCAAGCTTGTAATGCCAGCACTTTGTGAGGCCGAGGCGGGCAGATCATGAGGTCAAGAGATAGAGACCATCCTGGCTAACACGGTGAAACCCCATCTCTACTAAAAATACAAAAAATTACCCGGTTGTGGTGCTGGGTGCCTGTAGTCCCAGCTACTCGGGAGGCTGAGGCAGGAAAATGGCGTGAACCCAGGAGGCAGAGCTTGCAGTGAGCCGAGATGGCACCACTGCACTCCAGCCTGGGCGACAGAGACTCCGTCTCAAAAAAAAAAAAAAAAATAGATTAGGGACTTTTACTGATTGAATAAATACATGACTGACTGAAAACTCTATCGTGACTATATTGCACTAGGTGGACGTTCTTAGATCTAATCATTTTCTAACATATATGCATTGAAAGATGGAAGCTGAATGCCAGACAATAGGCCTATATCCTGACGTCACTGGCAGGACTGACACTCAAAGGAGAAATGGTTCCTTAGCTCACGAGATTGAGTGGAGTCTATTTATATTAAAACTTTCTTGTCATTATGTATTGAGGTTTTCTGTTAGAATAACTTTCACAGCCTGAGTGTTTACCAGTCCTCATACAGAGGGACCACAGTGAAACTACATCTTCTAGCCAGGCTACATCAGCTGGGGTGGTGGGTTCAGCTCATTCTTCTTACTCAGTCCATGCTGCTATAACAAAGTACCATAGAATGGGAGGCTTATAAACAACAGAAATTTATTTCTCACAGTTCTAGAGGATGAAAGTCCAAGATCAGAGTACCAGCATGGTTGGGTTCTGAGGAAGGCCTTCTTTGCAGACTGCCATCTTCTTCTTGTATCTTCACGTGGTATAAAGAGGGCAAGAGGGTTCTTTGGGGTCGCTTTCTTAAGGCACCAATTCCAATCATGAAGACTCCACCCTCATGACCTAATTAACTCCCAAACGTCCCACATCCTAATACTATCACACTGGAATTTGGATTTCAACATGTATATTTGGGAGCGACATAAACATTCATTCTCTTGCACTGTGGTAGACTCAGGTATTGATAAAACCAAGAGGATTCCAGAGAGGGTAGCATAAAGCTCACAGAGAATGAATGTGCATGTGTGTATGTGTGTTTGAATTTTGTGTTTATGAAACTAAGTACTGGTGATTGTATGGGAAATGGGAAGAAGTCTCCTTAGATTGAAGCTTGCTCTCTCTTGTCCTTAATTTTCTGTAAATGCAATAGCTCAATCAACATGACCCAGGTATCCTATAAGACTATAGAAATATAGCCATAAATTCTAAGTAGTTATGGTAAAACTTTGGGATTCTTCACATATAGAAGTAGGGCGGGGTATGTCTTTCTGAAGTGGGATGGCAGATCATGTCTTTAGTCTTGAGTGGTAAATTCTTTTCTTACTACTATTTGTACTAGTCAGGGTCCTCCAGAGAAACAGAGCCAAAAGGACAAAGAGGTGTGTGTACATATATATATGTATTTATATATAATATAAATGAATTATAAATGAAATATTAATGAATATATAAATATTCATGAATTTTGTATATAATATTAAGTATATGAATTAATAAATAAATAAAAATATGTATTTAAGGGACTCAGCTTATGTGATTGTGGAGGTGACTCAGAAGAGTTGGAATTAAGCTGATTTTGTAGAAGTCTGAAAGCAGTCTGCTATCTAATTTCCTTTCGTTCTTAGGTCAGCCTTTAGTTCCATTCAAGCCTTCAGCTGATTAGATGAGGCCTACTCACTTATGGATGGTAATCCACTTTATTTAAAGTCACCTGATTTAAGTATAAATCTCATCCAAAAACACCCTCACAGAAACATCCAGAATACTATTTGACCAAATATCTGGGCACTGTGACCCAGCCAAGTAAACTTAAAATTAACCATCACAGTGCCCCTATGATTTAGTCTTATATTTACTATTAAAGTCTCATATTTGCATGAGACTCAGATATTATTTGTTCAGTTTAAAAATTCTGTCCCTCAGAGGATTTATTGACGCAGAGATTTCTTTGGTAGTTGTTGATCTCTCAGAACATGTTCTTTTCTTGATGAAAACACATTGGAAGAATTGGATTTATAATATGATGAAAACATTATTTTGGCTATTAAACTGATCTTAAATTAGCCCCTCATCCTAAACTTAATTCATGCCTACAAGAGGTCATAAGATTAACTGTATTTGGAGTATGTGAAGTTAAATTTGGCAAACATATTTTTGAGCACCTGCCACATACCAGGCCCAGTGTTAGGCATGGAGAGGACAAAGGTGAATAAACATAATTTCCACCATTGATAGAGTTTATAGTTTAGTGTGTGGAACAGTTATCAAAACACTAAAACATGGTGAGTCCAGGTGTGTTGAAGCAGGTGTGGGGGGTGGTGCTGGGGAAGCGATGTGAAGGATACAGTTAATGAGAATGAGCAGCATGGAATTTAGCCCTAATGTGGGGAAGGTAACAGACTACTGACAGAAGATAAGAAGCCTGTTATCTATAGTCTTGTGTTTTGCCAGTAGGGGTACAGAGACCTAGGGCTTTAGATTTTTGTGATGATATTCTTTCTCTAGACCACTACCCACCTAAAATTTTGAAATTTTGATGGTTTTGAAAAGATATGCACCTCTTGGTAGCCACAAGAGAATCTGGGCCTGAAACATGATATAGCATGTAACCCTAGGTAATCTGTTAACTTTAATCTTCATTGTGAACCTCGTAATTCTTGATATACCTTGTCATTGGCTCATGACATATTTATTGTTGTGATGCATCTGCCAATGAATGTACGCTGCTGATAAAGACATACCTGAAACTGGGTAATTTTTAGAGAAAAAGAGGTTTAATGGACTCACAGTTCCACGTAGCTGGGGAGCCTCACAATCATGGCAGAAGTCGAAAGGCACGTCTTAATGGCAACAGGCAAAGAGAGAATGAGGGCCAAGCAAAAGGGACTTTCCCATATAAAACCATCAGATCTCATGAGATTTATTCACTACCAGGAGAACAGTGTGGGGAAATCGCCCCCATGATTCAATTATCTCCCACCACGTCCCTCCCACAACACATGGGAATTATGGGAGCTACAACTCAAGATGAGATTTGGGCGGGGACATAGACAAACCATATCAAATACCATATCTAGGGACCCACATTGTCCCCATGGAGACCTGTGTGAAGTGATCTGTCATATAAGAGTTCTCTGTGCTGGGCACAGTGACTCATGCCTGTAATTCCAGCACTTTAGGAGGCCGAGGTGGGCGGATCACAAGGTCAGGAGACTGAGACAATCCTGGCTAACACAGTGCTGAAACTCTGTCTCTATTAAAAATACAAAAAATTAGCTGGGCGTGGTGGCAGGCACCTGTAGTCCCAGCTACTCAGGAGGCTGAGGGAGAATGGCGTGAACCTGGGAGGTGGACCTTGCAGTGAGCGGAGATCGCACCACTGCACTCCAGCCTGGGTGACAGAGCGAGACTCTGTCTCAAAAAAAAAAAAAAAAAAAAAAAAAAAAAAAGGGACCTAGTTCTAGAGGAGTTTACTTGACAGGGATGCTAATAGGTACTCAGGCATGGGGTCAGGAAGCACTAGATGGGGAGAGGTGTGGTGGAAACACACACTTAAGCATTAGAAATAGAAGTTAGTGCAAAGACCTTGGGACACACAATAACTCAGGAGGTGAATTACTGGTACTGTGGCCCAAAAAGGAGCAAAATCAACAGTAGGCTGACTTAGCGCTGAGCTTTTCAGGTACCTTTTGACTTCTCAGCCATTGGACTTACCCTGAATTTCTTGCCTATCCTCACTAGTTGGATTTACTTTTTCCTGCTTCTGCAGAATGCATTGTTTTCCAGCCATCCTGCGAGAAGCTCTCTTTTTGTCAATAAATAATAAATGGCTTCAAAATTTGGAGATGATAATTGTGGCAAATAGAGTAAGTTTTTCACAGCTTTAAATTTGAATAAATTCAAGTCTGTAGAAAAATGTTGGAAGAAAAATAAAATAAATAAACTTGCAGTCTTTGTCTAGATTCACTAATTATTAAGATTTCACCATATTTGCTATTATCTATCTACTTACCTGGCTATGTATATTTATTTATATGTATATGTATAAATATAGTTTGCTGAAAAACTTGAAAGTTGGTTGCAGATTTTTCACCCCTAAATGCTTCAGCCTCTATCTTGTAAATATACAAAGACATTCTCCTACCTAACTGCGTTACCACTACCATTCACAAGAAATTTTGTATTGATGCAATAGAACTATCTGATATATATTCTATATTCAAATTTCCCAATTGCTTCAATAATGTCCTTTATAGATTTTTTATAGTGACTTAAAACATCCAATTTCATGAGGTATTTAGAAATGAAACTAGGAATATTAGATTTCTAAGGTATTTGGGAAAAGTGGTGTAAGTTGAATACGTTTGTGCAGTTTCCTCAAGAAAATTATTGTTTTCATCTTTCCACTGATGGGAAAGCACAACTATCAATCAAGTATATGTCAGTGTCTGGATGCATAGTATTAGCTTTTACTTAATGGAGTTAGAGTGAATTTTCACCTTTAGTTTAGAGTGAGTCTTCACTCTAAATAAGATGCTGGTTTTCATATTTAAATTGCATTCGTACTTGATCTTTTGGTCAAAGCAGCAAGAGACCAGTTATAAAAATCTATTCCTCTTAATTTAAAGGCAGCGATTAAAGGAGATTCAGAGCTTTGAAACTGTTGTGAGTATTCTACTTAGGAAAATAAACACTAATTGAAAGGGCTAATCAAAAGCTCATCATCCTGAAGGGCACTTGGATGGTTCACAAGTATGCAGTTTAGGTAGACAGGTGCTCTTATGAGGACCTCATCATTCTAAGTAAAGGGACTTTACGCCATGCGTTAGATGAGTCCCCTTAATGAGTGACTATTTATGATGATAAAATACATCTGCTGCTAACTTCCTTTATAATTTTTCAAATAATTTCAGAAATCATGAATGAAGGAAAAAATGAATGAGGAATGATTCAAACTCAATCAGTAACAAAAACTTTGCTTACATAACATTTCCTTAAAGAAAATCTTCCTTTTCCTAATCTGTAGTCTTTGTGCTTTTAATTATGTCACAAAATCTCTACAAATATTTGGGCAAACAAGTAATTATTTCCAATAAAGTTGTGCTCTTTAAAAACACATGAGTAATTAAACTCTGTTCCCCTTTACTCTAGTTATACAAGAAATTTTTCTGTCCTGGTAAAGATGACTTCACATGCCAAACCATTACCTCAGAGACTAAACCAAATTTCAGAGATGAAAAAACATTTAAAGATGCTTTTACAGATAATTCTGGATGATTCAGACTATTTCCTAAACAGTCAAAGTTCCTGTAAGTGGAATTTTCTCCTTACCAGACTATAAATCAATATGTGTTGGCTATAATGATGAATTAGTGACAAAGAAATTCTAACAACTATACCTGATGAAAAGGTCACTATTAGGTTGATAGTATGGTTGGTGGGGGCGGTTAGTGATTATCTAGGAAGCTTGTTTTTGAAACTGCTGCCATCAGTGGAACTTTGTTGGTCATTACAAGTGCACATGTGTACAATGGGCACGTGAGCAAGGCTGAGATGCATTGATCTATATAGTCCAAACAATCTGATAAGTATGTTTGAAAAGTACTATGAAAAAAATCATCAGTGTACATGTAAATGTTGTAAAATTTGGTCGCAGGAAGAATTCTGTTTCCTTCACTGAGTGCTAAATCATCCCATTTATATAGCTGCTTCACTTTTGCCCTCTATTTTGGCACTCCCATTTGCCTTTTTGCTATCATCATATTGAACTCAATAATATATGCAACTTTGTTACTTTTGTCAAATTCTAAAACATATGGGCCATTATATTTTTTCCAAAGCTGTTGATACATTTTAATTCTTAATAGGAAAGGGGATCTACGATTGGGAATTCACATTCAAATCCCATTATAGTAAACTTTAAAAAGGTATAATCATTCTCTTCCATTTAATCTTACTCTTTGTAATGAGTTCCAAGTTTGGTATAAAATAGTTGCCACTGGTTTATATATCCTGTGGAAACACATCTCATAAGATTTTCTGACCAATAGCCAATACTTCTATATAGCTGCAGGGAGGCATACACCTTCTAGATCTATGACACTAGCATGTAATTCTCTTAGACCATTTGTACTGCTATAACAAAATACCATAAACTCTGTAGCTTATAAACAAAATAGAAATTTCTTTCTCACAGTTTTAGAAGCTGGAAAGTCCAAGATTAAGGCATTGGCACATTTGGTATTTGGTGAGAACCAACTTCCAGGTCCACAGATGGCACCCTCTAGCTGTGTCCTCATATGGTGGAAGAGCTGAGGGGTCTTTCTTGGACTTTTTTATAAAGATACTAATCTCATTAATGAGGGCTCTGTTCTCATGATATAATCACCTCCCAAAGGCCTCACATCCAAATACCATTACCTTGGAGGTTAGGATTTCAACATACGAATTTTAGGGAGACAGAGACTCTCAAACAATAGCAACATTGTTCATTCTATGCCCTTTGTCTTCATGCCTCCTAGTGAACACATTGAGTGGAAATGGAATTTATTAGAGGCTGTAGGATTCAGTTTTTTCCTGAAGGCTCATCTTCAGAAATCCAAATGAGACACCAGGGTTATTTGAATAGAATTTTAGAAAGACTTTCTATAAACGCCATGAGACTATAAAATCATCAACTAAGTTGAATTATATGAACATGTTATATAGACAAAAGAATATTGCCCAGTTGGCACACATTTGAGAGTGAAAGGAGGAACTATTAATAATTAAAATAACAGGTGCACACTGGTACTGTTCAGGCAAAGCAGAATATAGGGTCACCCAGTAATAATAGTACTTACTGTATCGAGTTCTTATAATGAGTCAATGACAAAATATACGTAAATTAGTTAGCTGTCAATGGGAAACATTCAATAAGTGGTAGCTGCTTATGTTGGTATTTTTCATGCCTCCTTCTTTGGCTAACGAAGCAAGAAAATCAGTGAGTTATTTATTCTCTTTATCTTTTAACAGATGATGCTGGGTCTAGTAATGAGGTAATGAGTGTTTAGTAATATAATCATATGGAAGCCTCTTTGAGTGGGAAAGGAGCTTTATGTCTATTTAGTTATGTTTATTATAGTGATTCTCCACCAAAAGAAGGAAAAATCTGTTTTTCAAATTTAAAAAATTGAGACAGCCCATCCTGCCTCTTCCACACACCTACCTCCTTAGCTTGATAGTTACTTCCACAGGAAGCCACTCTTACTGAGTGGACTGTGTCCTAGCTCTTAGGCTTATTGGAGCAGACAAAAATTAAGAATAACTAATTTATTAGATTAATATTTCCTTAAAGGCAGTGATTTTTAAAATTCTGATTCCCTATGCTTATTACAGTACCAGGTACATAGAAGATACTCAATACGTATTTGTTGAATTAGTGAAATATGAATAAATGGATCTCAGCAGCTAAAAATCAACCTTATGAGGTGATGGCCTCTAGTGTAACCCTGCAACCAAAACTCCGCCATATTCAGGAACTTTCCTATGCTTCATCTGGGGTCATAGAATCAAGGAATTCAGGGATTTCATAGCTGCAGTTGGTGCCAAGGAGCTATTTGCTATTTAGATTGGTTCCCTCTGTTAATTGATTGTAATAAGTAAAAACTCAATAAAGCTAATCTGCCAATTATCTCAATAAGGCTTCCTGCTGCACACTTTACAGATTCAAAACACAGAAGTGTCGTGTATGGATTTAAGCGCTATATGAGATATCAACATTGCTTATTAGTATTCAGTATCTTTGTTGAAGTATTATTGAGAACTGTATAAAATATATTTGTTTTATGTATGAAATAGAAAATATCAATTTTATATATCACTTCCATTGTATAAAAGTGACACTAAAGGCCTCATATTAACCTAGTTGTCCTGGCACTTGCTGTCTGCTCAAAGCTGGGCTTGGGAGACTGTGTGATGCTTAATTCACTTTCTATCATCCCTCATGTTGTTTCAAGTTGATGCAGGTTAGTTAAAATGGACTTTGCATGTGGCCTTGGTTAATAGGATTAATTGCTTTTATATTACAGAAAATAGAAAATATGTTTTGCATTATTTGCAGCTTTTCCCCCTTCAGGAATTGCATGTGGTTTTAGTCCGTACAGATCAGTGCACAGCCAGTGTTGTAGCTTTTATTTCGATTTTCTCTTGCAAATCTTTGAGTTAGCAGGCTCCGTGTTGGAGGGTAGAGAATGTTATTACAAAGCACCATCCTTACACTATAGTCAAGGCCTGAGGGGTGAGGGATCTCCTCCTCATCCTACCACGTCTGCTTTCATCCCAAAAGATTGGCCCAGCTATCGAGTGTAAGGGCTCTAAATTGCTGCCACTGAAAGGTGGAGGTTGTTAAAAGGCTATGCCTGGGCTGTTCAAAAATTTCATGGGTGGGAACCTGTGTCACTTGGCCCACAAAACTAGATGGTAGGGCAGTTATGGGCATGATGAATTGTGGCTTTGGTCACTTCTAACCTTGGGCTGAATCAGAGACTCATAGGATGTTGGTAACTGCCTCCCTGAGCCAAAGAAACAAGAAAGACCCTCTGCGTTCACGGTCTTTTCTTTCTTTCCTCTCCTTAGTCTCAAATATAAAACGTACCTGCCTTGTTAGATCTTAGAAAAAAGACAAGCTGGAAACCCACATTTTATTACTTATACAATAAATGATGATAGATATTAACACAAAATGTTCTCAAACTTCAGCTTTTCATGCTAAGATAATGAATTAAAACAAATGGAAAAGAAATGTTTCTACTATTTAAAAATTACAGTTTTCCTGTTTATGCTGTGAAAATGGTACATAATAGGACAACACAAATGATTGAAATGCCATAAGCATATCCACAGAAAGGATTACAGGGGATGCTGAAACAGCAATCATACTATGGAACTGATTAAATTTAACATGACTTATAATAATATGAGGTAGCAAGTCTGTGCTCAGTAAAAGCACCCCTCTTCTGAGGGGTTGAGTGGGTATTCATAGTTGACTGATCAAGGTCTGTGCTTTTTTTTTAATGTAGTCAGTCCATCTTTCCCCAAGTGAAGGGAGTTCAGGGCTATCTCATAGGGTTGGCATAATACACTGCACTCATTTCACAGTGTAAAATTTTTGTTAGGCAGAAACAGGAATATTATTACATATCACCAAACTAATCATCCACAATAGTTGATATTGTTAAAGACAGTTTAGTGTACAAGCCACCAGAGATGATAGAAAAGCAAATACTGCATATTTGATACGTTATTAATCCCTTTTTTTGACTTAGGAAAGAAAACAAAGAAATACCTCTAAGGCTGTGTGGGTTCTAATTTCTGCTTCGGCTTCCTGCATACATTGACATGAGCCATTTTACTTTCCTCCATTTCATTTCCCACATCCATAAGATTAGGAAGCAATGCTGGATAGTTGCAAAGCAAATATAAAAGATTGCATTCATATTAAATCATCTTTTAGAAGTGTGTGAAAAAGGTTAATACTAATTTAAACATTTGATCAATAAAAAAATGATAGATGCTATTTTCCATTGTTTGTGCATTCTTACAAGTAAAGGGCAATTACATGCCAAGAATGATAGAAAAAATATGAATGTATTTGATATATTCCTGGTTTGAGTAGTGAGATTTCTTAATAAGAAAAGTTATTAGAATGCTTTATGAAGTTTATGAACTTGTAATTTGCTCCCATAATTAGATGAGATTCTGTTAGACCCATCCTTCTACAATTTCATAATTGAGAGGCTTTTGCCTACAACAATGTTGAATCAAATATACGTAGGCTTAATGGACTATTTTAAAGATTGGCCATAGCTTATGCAAAATAAGAACAATCCTTAGAGCATTTTCAAGGCTTCCTGCCACAAATTGCTTTTGCAATTTTCATTTCATTTTTTAACTATGAAGTTAAGGCATCTTTAGTTGTTTTTATTTTAAATTGCTCCTGCTGTTGTTCTCCTCCTAGGAAGTAGTCACTATTTTTTTTCCTTTCTGCTGGCCATTGTAATATTTCTTACATGAATAAAAACAAAGTGGTTTATTTAAAAAAGAGTTTTAAAATCCTCCTTTGCAGTTCCAAGAAAAATGCCTTACCATTATCAAATTGAAAAAGGGATAATGTAGCACAGTTACAAGTAAGTTTTATCAATGAGTGTTTTCCGGAAACTCTTTCTGCTGCATCCTTTAACATTGGCAGTTGAAAAGTTAATTCTGAAAACAAAGTACATGTGGAAAGGCAGGTGATTGATCAAGGCAAAAATTAAAATTGGGTACTGGTGGCACAATCTCTTACTTTTTGGCCCACAGGAATCCTGATAAAAATTAATTGTTTCTGTGATTCTTAGACCTTCATCAATCAGATGTAAATTACACCATGCATGATTGGCTGCCTTTCCATTCTGAGTTCCCCATAGAGAGCTGTTGGCTGCCAACTGCTACAGAGACACGGTGGAGTAGCAGCCTGTCTTTGGCCACTCTGGGACCACAAACTGAGAGATGGAGCTGACTTGCAACCACAATAGTGTGCCCAAGGATGCAGCCAGCACCTTTCTAGAGTAATTTCCATTTAGGGCAAAAGAGACATTTTTCAAACCAGGTTTAATATTAGGCAAATCTTCTGATTTTTAAACATGGTTTCAGACCAATCTAAGAGGATGCAAGAGCACAGAGCACCTAGCAGATAGTGGGAATAAACATAAGATTAATCTCAAGATTGATTAGGGAAAAACAAATATAGATTCCCTCAAAAAAAGGGTTTCCCAACATACTTTATGCACCTTTAGAGGCAGTTGTAATAATAATAGCTGAAACTTAATTAAAGTAAAATAAAAGACCCCAGTCAGGAGACCTTGTGACCACATTTGTAGCTGAGTACTGAATTTAGCCCCAAGAAATATGAGATCTACTTTTCATCTCACAACAATTTACCATTTCAAAAACCTCATATTAAGGAGGTGATTATAAGCTACAGAGTTGTCATATTTCATATGTAAAGAAAGAAGGGTTTGAGAATGTAGAAGGGCATCTTTTCAAAGAAACTTCACAATTAAATTTTAAACATGTATTGGTAAATGAGGTTATTGGAATGACCTGGGATACATGAAATGTAGTTTTTTTTTTTTAAATCTTAAAGCATGAACTCAGATCTTCATGGACATGTCTTTAGTGTAAATTACTTGTGTTTGTGAATTGTATTTTAAAAACGCTGATAAATGCTATTTGAAAAAGAAGGTGAATTGGCTCTTAGGGTTACAGTCAAGGACCAAATTGCCTGAGTTCAAATTTTGATTCAGCTCCTATGTGACTTTGGCAAATTACATAATCTCTCCAGTCCTTGGTTTCTTATCTATAAAATGGGCATAATAATACTTCATATTCTAACAAATTGTGTGGAATAAATGAGGTAATTCACTTTTAACAGTGCCTGATGTTTAGCAAATATTAAATACATATTAATTATCCTTATTATTTTTTATGTGTTATCTGTAACTCATTTAAACCATTATCAAAAAGGAAAGCTTTCCTTCTAAGAAATCATTTCTTTAATTGAAACATCAACAACTTCTTAGGAATTTCGGTCAGGTTTCCAGGAGCTCATGTAACTATATAAATTTCTGCTCCTGTAGCTTTCACCTGCTTGCTATTGCAGGGTTCCCCTGTAATTATATTGTCAAGTCTCTTTACTGGGTAATAATGTTTATTTCACAATGTTTGAGGATTATAGAAATAAGTAATTAAATGAGATGACATTTGTATAAGTGCTGAGAAGGGACTGGCTCACAGTAGGTCCTAAATAAATATTAGCTTTTTAGATACACACTTGCCTTCTGTATGAGGAAGGGAGCAAATGTTTAATGTTCCAAACAAAACATTATTTTTCACTATGACATTGAAGCTTGAGACACTCCTATGACCTATACATTAATTTTCTTTTAACTTTTCTTTTTGCCCCACAACAATTCTCTCCTAAGCACTCTGGGGCCATCACTTGACGGTACATCAGTGGTGGTATCTGCCACGTCTGAAGACAGTGGGACCTTAGAGTGTGTCAGTGAAGACAATTGCTCCCAAAGAAAGACAGTAAATTATATAAAGTGCCTGCTGGCTACTTAGGAAATCTTGCTATTATTGACTGGCTGTGAAGAAGTAAGCACCCATGTTGAGAAACCCCACTTGGCAAGGGATTGCAGGTGACCTCTGAGGGTAGCCTCTTGTTGACAACTGGCAAAAACCGAAGCTCTCAGTCCTAACAACTGCAAGGAACTTAATGCTGCCAAAAACTATATAATTAGGGAAGTGGATCCATTCTAGATTCCAGATGAGACTCCAGGTTGGCCAACATCCTGTGAGACTAAACAGAGGACCAAGTTAACTCGTGCCTGGACTTCTGACCCACAAAAATTGTGATATAATAATTTCTCTTGTCTGCAGCCTCTAACTTTGTGGTAATTTATTACATAGCAATATATTACTAATAAAGATTTTTTTCCCTTCTTATTTAATCTTAAGAAAGAAATCTTGTATTCTTGGAAAGTGGATTTTAATTTAAACACCAATGACTTCTTGGATTGGTATTTACCTAGGCATTCTGGAGGCATGTTCAACTGTAAAAACCATACTTTCTACTCTAATATCTATACCTAAAATGATGAGTGTAAATCCTTGCTCTGCCACTGTTTGGTAAATGTATTCTCTCTTAGCCTCAGTTTCATTGGCTGTAAAATGGAAATAATGCCAATTAGTTTTTAGTATTGTTGTAGAGATTGGCTAAAATATTCCATGGTGAATATATACCACGTTTTCTTTATCCACTCGTTGATTGATGGGCATTTGGGCTGGCTCCATATTTTTGAATTGCAAGTTGTGCTGCTATAAACATGTGTGTGAAAGTATCTTTTTTGTATAATGACTTCTTTTTCTTTGGGTGGATACCTGGTAGTGGGATTGCTGGATCAAACAGCAGATCTACTTCTAGTTCTTTGAGGACTAAGAGTTTGTTGTAGATGGCATTTATTACCATAAGCTATCTCACTTCTATGCCAGTTTTGCTAAGGGTTTTAATCATAAAGGGATGCTAGATTTTGTTAAATACTTTTTCTACATCTATTGAGATGATCATGTGATTTTTGTTTTTAATTCTGTTTATGTTATGTGGTGTATCACATTTATTGATTTGTGTATGTTAAACCATCCTTGCATCCCTGATATGTAACCCACTTCATCATGGTGGATTATCTTTTTGATATGATGTTGGATTCAGTTAGCTAGTGTTTTGTTAAGGATTTTTGCCTCTATATTCATCAGGGATATGTTCTGTAGTTTTCTTTTTTTTTGTTATGTTCTTTCCTGGTTTTGGTATTAGGGTGATACTGGCTTCATAGAATTATTTATGGAGGATTCTCTTTTACTCTATCTTGTGCAATAGTGTCAATAGGATTCGTACCAATTCTTTGAATGTCTAATAGAATTCAGCTGTGAATCCGTCTGGTCCTGGACTTTTTATTTCTTGGCAATTTTAAAATTACCATTTCAATCTCACTGCTTGTTCTTAGGCTGTTCAGAGATTCTATGTCTTTCTCGTTTAATTTAGGAGGGTTGTATATTTCCAGGAATTTATCCATTTCCTCTAGGTTTTCTGGTTTATGTGCATAAAGGTGTTCCTAGTAGCCTTGAATGATCTTTTGCATTTCTGTGGTATCAGTTGTAATATCTCCTGATATTACATTCTAATTGAGCTTTCTAATTTCTCAATTACTTTCTAATTGAGCTTATTTGGATGTTCTCTCTTCTTTTCTTGGTTAATCTCACTAACGGTCTATTAATTTTATTTATCATTTCAAAGAACCAGCTTTTTGTTTCATTTAGCATTTGTATTTTTTTGTTTCAATTTCATTTAGTTCTGTTCTGATCTTCATTATTTCTTTTCTTCTGACTGGTTTGGATTATTCTTGTTTCTCCAGTTCCATGAGATGTGACCTTAGATTGTCTATTTGTGCTCTTTCAGACTTTTTGATGTAGGCATTTAATGCTTTGAACTTTCCTAGTGCCACTTTTCCTGTGTCCCAGAGGTTTTGATAGGTTGTGTCACTGTTATCATTTGGTTCAAAGAAGTTTTAAATTTCCATCTTGATTTCATTGTTGACTCAATGATCATCCAGGAGCAGTTTATTTAATTTCCATGTATTTGCATGGTTTTGTGGGTTCCTTTTGGAGTTGATCCTTCTGGTTTCTTTTTTGATTTCCAATTGTATTTCACTGTAGTCTGAGAGAGTACTTGATATAATTTTGATATTCTTAAATTTACTGAGGCTTGTTTTATGGCCTATCATATGGCCTGTCTTGGAGAATGTTCCATGTGCTGGTGAATAGAATGTATATTCTGCAGTTGTTGGGTAGAATGTTCTGTAAATATCTGTTAAAACCATTTGTTTTAGGGTATAGTTTAAGTCCATTGTGTCTTTGTTGACTTTCTGTCTTGATTACCTGTCTAGTGTTGTCAGTGGAGTATTAAAGCCCCCTACTATTATTGTGTTGCTATCTCATTTCTTAGGTCTAGTAGTAATTGTTTTATACATTGTTAGGTGCATATTTATTTAGAACTGTAATATTTTCCTATGGACTAGTCCTTTTATCATTATATAATGTCCCTCTTTGTCTTTTTTAACTGCTGTTGCTTTAAAGTTTGTTTTGTCTGATACAAGAATAGCGACTCCTGCTTGCTTTTGGTGTCCATTTGCATGTAATATCTTTTTCCACTCTTTTACCTTAAGTTTATTTGAGTCCTTATGTGTTACGTGAGTCTCCTGAGGAAAGCAGAAACTTAGTTCGTGAATTATTATTCATTCTGTCGTTCTGTATCTTTTAAGTGGAGCATTTATGCCATTTACATTCAATGTTATTATTGAGATATGAGGTACTATTCTATTCATTTGCTTTTTGTTGCCTGAATTCCTTTTTTTTTTCAATGTGTCATTGGTATATGGGTTCTGTGAGATTTATGCTTTAAGGAGGTTCTGTTTTGGTGTATTTTGAGGATTGTTTCAAGATTTAGAGCTCCTTTTAGCAGTTTTTGTAGTGTTGGCTTGGGGCTTCGTAGGGACACATTCTCTCAACATTTGTTTGTCTGGAAAAGAATGTATCTTTTTTTCATTTATGAAGCTTAGTTTCACTGGATACAAAATTTTTGGCTGATAATTGCTTTGTTTAAGGAGGCTAAAATAGGACCGCAATCCCTTCTAGCTTGTAGGGTTTCTGCTGAGAAGTCTGCTGTTAATTTGATAGGTTTTCCTTTATAGGTTACACAGTGCTTTTGCCTCACAGCTCTTAATATTTTTTTCCTTTGTCTTGACTGTAGATAACCTGATGACTTTGTGCCTAGACGATGATCTTTTTGTGATGAATTTCCCAAGTGTTCTTTGAGCTTCTTGTATTCAGATGTCTAGATCTCTAGCAAGGCTAGGGAAGTTTTCCTTGTTTGTTTTTTCAAATATGTTTTCCAAACTTTTACATTTCTTTTCTTCCTTGGGAACACCAATTATTCTTAGGTTTGGACATTTAACATAGTCCCAAACTTCTTGGAGGTTTTGTTCATTAAATTTTTTTTTCTTTGTCCTTGACAGATTGGGTTAATTTGAAAGCCTTTTCTTCGAACTCTGAAGTTCTTTCTTCGCTTCAATTCTATTGCTGAGACTTTCCAGTGCATTTTGCATTTCTTTAAGTGTGTCCTTGATTTCCAGAAGTTGTGATTGTTTTTCATTTATGCTGTGTATTTCACTGAATAATTTTCCTTTCATATCCCGTATCACGTTTTTTGTTTCTTTAAGTTGGACTTCACCTTTCTCTGGTGCCTTCCTGATTAGCTTAATAATTGACCTTCTGAATTCTTTTTCTGGCAATTCTCAGATTTCTTTTTGGTTTGGATCTGTTGCTGGTGAGCTGGTATGCTCTTTTGGGAGTGTTAAAGAACCTCATTTTGTAGTATTACTAAAATTGTTTGCCTGGTTCCTTCTCATTTGGGTAGACTTTGTCAGAGGGAAGATCATAGATTCAAGGGCTGCTGTTCAGGTTCTTTTGTCCCATGGGGTGCTCCCTTGATATGGTGTTCCACCCCCTTTCCCCTAGGAATGGGACTTCCTGAGAGCTGAACTGTAGTGACTGGTTTTACTCTTTTGGGTCTAGCCACCCAGTGGAGCTACTGGGCTCTGAGCTGGTATTGGGGAGTGTCTGCAAAGAGTCCTGTGATGTGATCCATCTTCAGATCTTGCAGCCATGGATACCAGCACCTGCCCCGTTGGAGGTAGCAGGGGAGTTAAGTGGACTCTGTGAGGGTCTTTGGTTGTTTTTTTTGTTTAGAGAGCTGATTTTGTGTTGGTTGGCCTGCAGCCAGGAGGTGGTGCTTTAAAGAGTGTATCCTATGGGGAGGTCCTATAGGGAGGATGTAAACTTTCCCTAGGGACACCTGGTTAAGTATTCAGGTTTCTCAGGTGGTGGGCAGGACTATAGAGCTCCCAAGAGATTATGACCTTTGTCTTTGCCTACCAGGACTGGTAGAGAAAGACCACCAGGTGCCGGCAGGGATACGCATGTCTGAGATCAGCCTCTCTTTAGGCGGGGCTTGCTGCACCTGCTGTGGAGCATGGGAGTGTGGCTCCCAGGCCAATGGAGTTATATTCCCAGGGGGATTATTGCTATCTCTGCTGAGTCATACAGGTCGCTAGGGAAGTGGGGGAAAGCCAGCAGTCACAGGCCTCAACCTGCTCCCACACAGCTGGCAGTCCTAAAGGCTGGTCTCACTCCCACCATGTCCGCAAAAGCACTGAGTCTATTTCCAGGCAGCCAGTGACCAGGACTGAGAACTTGCCCCAGACCACGAGCCTCCCTGTTGAGAAAGCAAGCAGACTCACACAGTATTTTGGCATCTCAGAGAGCCTGCCAGGGTGATCCCGTTCCTTCACAGGGTCTGTAGATTATCTCGGCTTTTCTTGTATGGTCCTGTGGTAGTTCTTGGAGCAAAAGTTCACCATGTGAGTCTTTACATGCTGCTCTGTCTGTCTGAGTGGGAGCTGCAAGTTAGCCTTGCCTCCTCTCTACCATCTTAATCTAATCACCCTCCTCCATTAAATATATTTTTTACAAAAATTTTTTGATCATGAGGACTTCTTGTTTATGATGAAGAGATTTGATCCATTAATGTTTAATATTGTAAGACTTTATGTGATTGTTCAAAAGATTGTATTTTAAATGATAAAAAACCACAGAGTGTAATATATTTTTTGAAATATTTGTGGATACATAGGAGGTGCATATATTTATGGGGCACATTAGACATTTTAATACAGGCATGTCATGTGAAATAATCACATCATGGAGAATAGGATATCTGTCCCCTCAAGCATTTATCCTTTGTGTTGAACAATATCCAATTACACTCTTTTAGCTATTTTAAAATGTACAGTTAAGTTATTACTGACACTGCACTCTTCACAATAGCTAAGGTTTGGAAGCAGCTTAAGTGTCCATCAGCAGATTAATGGATAAAGAAAATGTGATACATGTGTACACATTGGAGTACTATTCAGCTGTAGAAATGAATGAGATCCTGTCATTTTCAACAACATGAATAGAGAGTAATATTTTTAAAGGAAACTGCAAAATGGAAATCAAAGTCATGAATTAGAAGAAAAAAAACAAGTTTGTTTGGAACTATTTGCTATATCTGTTTAAAACATAGCATTCTTTTTGAATGGCTCTTCTGCTCTTTGCCCTTCCATACTGGATACTGCCTCAGATCAACAGAGAAATTATCATAGAAATTCTGACTCTTTTTTGTTCTTTCACAGTTAATGCAATATAAATTTTGTTCATTGTACTTTAAGAGATGCCAAGGGGTTTGGTTTGCAATATATCTATGAAATAAGCACTTAAAAATCTTTAAAGGATTTTTTTCATTACAAAACAAATAATTTAAAATCTTTTTATTTAGGAAACAAGATGGAAGAACATGTTAACCATAGCAGCCACTAAAATCTTTCTCCGTATCTATTCAGTTACTTCTTCACTTACTCATCCATATTATCGAATGTCAACCTAACACCATACACTGTCCCAAGTACTGGGAATATAGTGGTAAATACAAAAATGTCCGAAACCGCAACTTGTACTATTGTCCCCGATTTAAGTTCTTTGTTTTCAATAGAAGTTTTGGCAGCTTGAAGGGCCTTTGAGTGGCTTACAAAAAGCACAAAGATAAGACAGTCAGGAATACAATGCAAGAACACCTTTGGTTGTTTGTTTCATTTCTTTCTCTTTCCTAAAAGTTGAAGCCATGTAGGATAGTAGAGTGAATCATAAACAAATGGTAGCATACAAATAAACAACATGTACAAATATTTAATTGAGGGTAACAACTAGATTTTATTAATCAAGATTTTACTGAATATACTCTTGGTTCTTCCCCATCACCAAGTAGTTGCAAAACAAATGAATATTGGACATTCATGCACTGATGCAAGTCTAATAATCATTAAATTCCATCTTATTTTTGGCCTTTTGACATATGAACCTATTTAATTTTTCAGAGATAACTTTACATAAAGGGTGTCATTCAGTACCCATAAAATATGTAATTATCCATGGCATATTGATGTGTATGTATGTATAAGTAGAAACATAGATGCATTACATATATTTTTACAGAAAGGATGGCCACAGGTTAGTTAGTGAGATTCTATGTATGCATGAGTAGAAACATAGATGCATTACATATATTTTTGCAGATAGGATGGCCACAGATTAGTTAGTGAGATTCAAGGAGGAATGAAAGACTCCTTGAATGGTAGATTGTATTATTCAAAGAATTGTTTGCTGTTCTTTCTTACTGGCTCCTCCCTGCTAGAGGATTATATTTTCTATTCCACTGATGTTAGGTTTGTCAAGAGACTTGCTTTGGTCAATGTAATGTAGTGAAAATGATGTGCACCACTCCCAGATGAAGCTTTAAGAGCCAATACATAATTCCACATTACTCTTCGCCCTATGCCATGAGACCACATGTCTCAGTTAGCTGTAGCTTCTTCAGCTTGGGTTTTCCAGTGAAGAGGATAGATAGCAGAGTTGCAGCCAATCCACAAATGAGAAGTAAGGAGATCAAGAAACATTTATAGCTTTAAGTCATCAAGATTTTTTATTTTGGTCACCTCAGCAGAATTTAGCCTAAACTGGAAGATACAGACAAATATAATATTAATTACTAATATCGAATAGTTTCTGTGGACAAAGAATGACATTTGTTAATTTCACACTTGTCTCATGTGATCCTCATAATCATTCTATGGTTAGAAATAATCACATCCTCATTTCACAACTGAGAAAAATGCAGCCCATCAAATTTGCTCAGGATTATCTAGCTAATAAGATACATGAAATATGAATAGGAACATAAGTTTAGCTAATTTCTAAGTTTCACCCACAGGGTCCTGCCTCATTGGACTTTAGAATTAGATATCATATAATACAATATGTTCATTTTACAAAAGAGTAAACTCAAGTTCTCAATTACCTGTCATATATAGTTCCACTACCTAGCTATAAAGCTGCAACTTAAAGCACTAATCTCCTGGAGCTAGAACTCAAATTTGTAGTCTGTACTTATTGTCTAGTACTCGTGTGTGTGATTGTATATACATATACATATGTAAAATGATACCTTTGTCAATATGAAATATATAGGGCATGTAAATAATATTTATATGTCTTTTTGGGATTAGGACAATAAACCTTAAAATTAAGAATTAATTTATCATAGCATGTATTTTTACCAATCTGTTAATCTAATACCAAGACAAGCAATGAAAATGTTTTGAGTTACTATTTTTTATTATGTAGTTATAGAGTCATTTTGGTTTGTATATTATGAACTCATAATTATAATAGTGTTGCTCATCATTGTTTTCCTTTTCCTTGAGCTAAAAAAAATATAAATAGGATAATCCTATTTCCTGAGGTGACTTAATACTTAATCTTTTATTTCTTGTTTACTTTGTCATTAAAATAAGACATTCTACTTCAGTCTATTAAAAATATAGTTATACTGTATTCAGAGACATAATTTAGCTTTACTAAATAAAATATACATATCTAGTTGTTCTTAAGTTAGGAGTATTTATTTAAAAAGGAGAAAATTTTAAAAACTGCTTTTATAAAATCTTGCAATAACAAACCGTGTAAATATATAAATGTGCTATAAAGTCTATTAATAGGCATTTTGTTTACGTATTTTTATCTCAATTATCCATGCCCATAGGACTCATTCAATCAATCTTTCACTAAGTAGTTTTCAAAATATAATTACTCTTATGGGTAGGTCTAAGAACAGCAGTGTCATTTACACTATAGTTCACTAATTGCACTTCCAAGCTATTATAATGAATTATACCAGTACATTCTTCAAGAAGATCAGTTAATGCTAATCACTTGTATCGCATATATCACTTAGAAGAGATCCATCCGTAAAAGCCTTTCATTTACAGCCTCATTTCTTTTTAATTCCCTTGTAATGCAAGTTATAGCTGTAAATATATACAACATGTGCTTCTGTTACCTGTTACCCTGTTGGATTGATTCTGAGTTAAGTATTGAAATCTAGAGACTATAATCTTTTATGGTAGGAGTAATACTATTTATTTTAAAATCTTGTGTAATAATTATTCTTATTATACACAATTAAATCATTACAATACATATAATTATCTACATTTGGATAAAATATTAAGGACCTAAATAAAATCTTATTTCCTCTAAATATTTTTATCATCCCCTCCAATGTTCCCAGACTATATTTTTGCATTTCTTTCTATGTTCAAGAAAACTGGTATTTAATATGTTTATTACTTAAAAATAAATGACAAGAAGATTTATGTTTTTAAACCTATACATAATGGTAAGATTTTCCAGACAATGAACATAGATACTAGGGTGTAAGCATATTGTTTTTTGGTAGAATATTGAAATAATTTTGTAGACCGAGTATCATGACAGAAGATTACATAAAGGGACAAAAATATAGAAAACTTCCTTTAAAATATTTCTTCTTTGTAAAATTTACCTATTAGGTAGTGTTTCTATAAATGTCACAGAAATGGAGAAATAGGAGAATCTTTTATTATCATTAGATATATATTATCATAAAATAAAAGTACAATTTGAATATTGGAGATGTTGATTTATTACGTGCTATTTGTTTTCTATTCAAAACAATACTTCTTAGAATTAATATAACTTGTTCTTAAGTAAGAGAAAAGGTTGTTGCATGTTGTAATCATGATTTAAATTTCTGACCTCACCTCATAAAATCAAGAGTGAAAGAGAAAAGATGACTTTGGTGAGTCTTCATTAGAAGAAGTTAAAACTGATAATAATATATGACTAATTAATATATAAAGTTCAGATTACACATATCTTTTAAAATCCTCTACAAAATAATGTTCTTGTCCCTATTTTACAGATAGTAAAACTAAGACTCAGAGAGATAACTTGCCCAAGATGACACAAGTGTTAAGAGATAGTACTGGGCTTTAAAACCATTAGGCCTAATTCAGAATTGTAACTTTGATATTCTACTGAAGTTTTGTGTATGTTTGTATATTGAGATGTGGCTGTGATAGGTTATGGTACAAAGTCTACTCTCAAAACTCCGTTTTGCTGTTCTACAGTACAGGGCTTTACCAACATACAAAGTTAAGTGTTTGTGTTTGCCTGATATTTGTTATATTCATGCAAGGAGATGGACCAGTCATTCTCATTGGCTCTTGTAAGCACCAGAACTAAGAAAACATTTAGCAGTGTTGTCCCTAGATGAATTATCTCAACATTTGCAAGAAAAATGGATGCCTTAATTTCAGAGCTAACTTCCAGTTGATATGCTTAATCATAGAGCAAAATATCATTTTAAAACATGTCAAACGACGATGCAAATGAGATTAAATGCTGTTTCCCCAAAACACCTTCTTTTTTTTTTTGAGACAGTGTCTTGCTCTGTTGTCCAGGCTGGAGTGTAGTGGCATGATCTTGGCTCACTGCAACCTCTGCCTCCCCAGTTCAAGTGATTCTCCTGCCTTAGCCTCCCTAGTAGCTGGGACTACAAGTGCGCACCACCACACGCAACTAATTTTTGTATTTTTAGTAGAGATGGGGTTTCACCATGTTGGCCAGGCTGGTCTCAATCTCTTGACCTCATGATCCGCCTGCCTCAGGCTTCCAAAGTGTTGGGATTACAGATGTGAGCCACTGTGCCCGGCTCCCAAAACACCTTCTAATAAAAGCCTGAGAATAGTAATTCTATTCTGTAACACCAGTAGTATATTTTATTCCATTGATTATTGTTGATGTTACTTTGTTTTAAAATATGGTTGGTATTTAGGTTATATGTTGATTTTTTGTTTCTTTTATGGGTAGAAATTCAGAGAAGAGCTATTTTATTCAACATTCAGATACATAAAAGTAAAGATTTCAGTTTCTAAGAATTCAGTGGCAGGAACCAGATTTATATTTTCACCCTAAGAACTGGGTAAAATAAATGAAACACAGTTTCAGATTTTAGATGACAGACCACACAGGATAATGATTCCTGAGAGTAGAGAGCCGTCCTGGAGAACCCTATGGTTGCCCCCACTTCTTAATTGGAGAGCATTTCCAGGATGCAGCCCAAGGAAGGGCAATCCAAACAGAACCTGTTGGTCTTGTTGGATTGAAAAGAAGGAATTCGAGCTTTGGGGAGGCCAAGACAGCAAGAAATTGTGAGGCAAAATATGCCAAAGGGATCCACAGAAAGTGAATGCTGGAGATGTACTAAAGGGTCCCTTTTAGTATTTGACTATGCATGAGGTCATCTTGCAGTCAGAGAAAGAACCACTAGGAAGGAGCAGGTAGAACAATTCTAGAAGCTCATATAGGGCAGAGAATGGTTTGTGTTCCTTCCAGCCAAAGTGAAAAGAATGCCCAATTTATAGGCATTGAGGACAATCCTCAGAATGGTAATGCCTTAAGAGTGAGTCCAAACTGGCCCTAGCCTAAAAAATTCCCAGATCCCAGGCTAACAGAGTTAAAAAGAAAGACTCAAAGAATGAAACTAATTATAAGTAATTTAATTATGTTAACCATAAGCTTAACCATATTTAAATAAGCTTAATCATATTTAAAATAATACAACAAAATTTAGCACCCAGAAATTTAAAATTCGAAATTTCTTACCTCCAATGAAAAAACTATCAGACACACACAAAAGGGAGAATTGACCTAGAACTAGGATTAACTTTAATTCGTAGAAACAGACCCAGAAATGATAGAGATGATAAAATTAGTAGACAAGGATGTCAAAACAGCAATTATAAATAAAATCTACATGTTCAAGAAGATAGGAGAAAACATGATCATGAAAAGGAGAGAAAACGATGTTATAAAAAGTACCCACATTTCTAGATGAAAAATATAATATCTGAAATGAAAAACACTGGCTGGAATTAATAGCAGATTAGACACTATAGAAGAAACATCAGTTAACTCGAAAACATAACAATAGATACTATCAAAAGTGAAGCACAGAGTAAAAAAAGATTGGGAAAAAAAAGAACAGAGTATTAATAACATATGAGATTATAACTTGTAGTCTAATATATATGCAATTAGAGTCCCAAAAAGAGAGGAATGAAGGGTCCCCAAAATATTTGAAGAAACAATGGTCAAAAAACTTTCAAATTTTAAAATGTGCTAAACCCACAGATTCAAGAAGGTGAATGAAGCCCAAACAGAAGAAACATCCAATATACCCAAATAGTCATAGTAATAAATTTTAATCTCTTTATTCTGAATAATTATTTAGATTGTATTCCCATTCTGCAAATGAGGAACCCAGAATTTAGACTGTTGATTAGCCGACAATCCTCAGTTTGTCTGTCAGACCCTGGCAGACAGAGAACTTTCCTTCCTTTACAGGGCTCAACCATGTGGGGTTTTGGGGTGCTATTGGCTGGTGGGCCACAACTGCCTTTCAATATGGTGCCTTTGAACCAGCGTTCAAATATGTGTAGCTCTACATAGTCTAAGTAAATTCCATTTGTACTATGGCCTTTTGCATAATGAACTCATACTGTGCATACAACATGTTGAAGGCTAATGAACAACTAGAAACTGGGGAGCTGGAGAAAATTATGTGCCAACAATATCTGACTTTAGAGCCTATATTAACCCCTGCAGAAAATAAAAGAATTGGTAGATTAGAACAAAAACTGTGCTGTCGTTTCTTTATTATGAAAAATAAAAAAGAAAGAACAATTGAAAAATGACAGAGCCAATCAATTTAGGAATAAGACTGAAAACAACAAAAGCAAAAGGTAACAGTATACAAAAATAAACCGGTGAGTCAAAACTCTTTATAACCAGGATCCAAACATGAAGGGATGATGAATTTAGGCAGCTGTTTCTATAGAAGTGTTTTTTGCTTGCTATTTAGTTTTCTAACATCCGTTGTCTAAACTGCATGACCTTATCTTTCCCTATTCTAATCTCTCTCATTGCTTAAAATTTTTACTCTTTTATTTCAAAATGTGGCTGTCATCCTTTGATCCACTAATTGGCTTTATTGCTCTAGCACCCTTCTTGCCTTCTCTATGTGTTGCCTGATGATTTTTTAAAAATTAAATCATTCCTACTATCTCACATTCCTCCTTTCCCGTTGTTCCCCCTTTTCTCTGGATATCTAGAACTGTAGCACACAAAGATCCTGCTTCTGAGAGAAATTTCCATTGTTTCAAACATTGACCTTGTGAGATCCCTTTTTAAATGTTGAATATTTAAAGTAATGTTGGAACAAGGACACCAAGCCATGATCCACTGAGATTTTTTAGGATATAGGAATTCTGTTCTTTCGTGTGCCAATCTTCTAGAAACTGATACAAAACTTCCAGAATGTTTTCTTTTTTAATCACCTTGTCAACACCAACTTTTCCTAGGATCAGAATCTTTTAATCTAGGGTTCACAAGGAGTATGTAGGTAGAACTCAGGGTGAGAATAAAAATTGTATCTTTATACTAGCTTCTGATGAAATTTAGCATTTCCTTCAATTATAAAGGTAGGCAACAAACCACAGTGGTGTTAGCAGTACTTGTGACTTTAGTATTTAATGTGAATCATTACTATTTTCATATTGTACTACAAGTATTAAAGATAACTAAAAATTGTTTACCTTCATCACTATTTCAAAGTTAGCATTATTAGAATTGCTGTTAGATAGATACTGTTAATAAATTTTAAAAAATCACTATTATCCCTATACATCAACAACAGTCAAGGCAAGAGCCAAATCAGGAACAAACTCCCGTTCACAATAGCTACAAAAAGAATAAAATACCTAGGAATACAGCTAACTAAGGAGGTGAAAGATCTCTACAAGGAGAACTACAAGCCACAGGAGAACTACAAA
This sequence comes from Homo sapiens, assembly GCF_000001405.40. Lineage (NCBI taxonomy): Eukaryota > Metazoa > Chordata > Mammalia > Primates > Hominidae > Homo > Homo sapiens. Next base: position 97,572,590 of record NC_000006.12, read on the forward strand.
TTGCTCAAGGAAGTCAGAGATAACACAAATGAAAAAACATTCCATGCTTATGGATAGGAAGAATCAATATTCAAACTATACTACAGGGCTACAGTGATATTAACTCAAGATGAATTAAAAACTTAAATGTAAAGCCCCAAATTATAAAAGCCCTGGAAGACAACCTAGGCAATACCATTCAGGACATAGGCATGGACAAAAATTTCATGATGAAGATGCCAAAAGCAATTGCAACAAAAGCAAAAATTGACAAATAGGATCCAATTAAACTAACGAGCTTCTGCACAGCAAAAGAAACTATCAAGAGTAAAGAGATAACCTACAGAATGGGAGAAAATATTTGCAAACTATGCATCTGACAAAGGTCTAATATTCAGCATCTATAAGGAACTTAATTTACAAGAAAAAAACAACCCCATAAAAAGGTAGGCAAAGAACATGAACAGACATGTTTCAAAAGAAGACACACATGTGGCCAGCAATCATATGCAAAAAAGCTCAGCATCATGGCTCATTTGAGAAATGCAAATGAAAACCACAATGAGATACCATCTCACACCAGTCAGAATGGCTTTTACTAAAAAGTCAGAAAGTAACAGATGCTGGGCAAGGTTGTGGAGAAAAAGAACACTTATACATTGTTGATGGGAGTGTTATTAGTTCAACCGTTGTGAAAGACAGTGTGGCAATTCCTCAAAGACCTAAAGACAGAAATACCATTAAATCATTCTGTTATAATGACACATGCATGTATATATTCATTGCAACACAATTCACAATAGTAAAGACATGAATCAACCTAAATGCCCATCAGTGATAGACTGGATAAAGAAATTGTGGTACATATACACCACTAAATACTATGTAGCCATAGGAAAGAGTGAGATCATGTCCTTTTCAGGGACATGGATGGCGATGGAGGCCATTATCCTTAGCAAACTAACACAAAACAGAAAACCAAATACCACATGGTCTCACTTATAAGTGGGAGCTAAATGATGAGAACATTTGGACGCATAGAGGGGAATAACACATACTGGGGCCTATCAGAGGGTGGAGGGTGGGAAGAGGGAGAGGATTAGGAAAAATAACTAATGGATACTAGGCTTAATAACTGGGTGATGAAATAATCTGTACAACAAACCCTCATCACACAAGTTTACCTATGTAATAAACCTGCACATGTACCCCTGAAGTTTAGATAAAAGTTAAAAAAAATGAAGTAAACAACAATAAAATCATATCTTTTAAAACTATTTTGAAATTGAAATGTTAATATATTTGGCTTTCAATGTAGTCTTATAGATATACCCTTTCATGCATTTAAAAACACTATCTGAGAAGAGGGTCATGGCACAAAACAGGTTGGAATTCCTGTACTAGATAATAGTGCAATATGCTTTTGAAGGAGGAGCTGTATTGGTTTACCTGAGACACGAGCGCCTGAGGCTGTTGTGGTCAGGTGACTTTCTTAATGTTGTAAGATGATACTACTGAGTGCCTCCTGCAACAGTTTTCTCAATTTAATATTATTATTTGCTGTTAAAAGACTACAAGACCAGCTTTCTGTCTAGTGTGATCTAATCAACAGATAGGACTAGTTCAAATGATAACACGTATTGTCCATGAAGAGCTACTGTACCGTAGGGGACAGAGATAGAAATTGTCCGGAGCCCAAAATTCAAATCTGTGCTCAGACTTTGGGTAGGTTATCTTTCTTGTACTTAGTGTTCTCATCTACTAAATAAAGGAATTGTGTTTGGTGATGTTTAAAATCTCTTTTCTTTTTGATGCTATGTGGGTCAGCTCCACCTGGCATTTAGAGGAGCTCTTCCATAGTTAGGATGCCTCTGCCCAGATTCATGCATTCTTTGCTAGTCTCTCCCACCTCTTGATCAATACACCTATGTAGGTTGACTGATTAGTATTAGGAAGCTGTTGCATGGCCTCTGGGTGACTGTGGACAGGTGGCTTCACTTCTCTGAACATCATTTTTCTTACTGGATAATAATAATATTTATTATTACTCTGAGAGCAGTAAGGATTAAATAAAATAGCACATGTCAAACTGCTAAAACAGGAGCTGGCACACAGGCAGATGTTTAGTCAATCTTCCACCTCAATCCCACTCAGAACAGAGGAAAACTAAATGTCTCACTGAAGACTGGACCTCAATACTTTGAAAAGTAAGTACCATTCTCATCAAGATTGAATAGATATGTGCGGGAATGTGTATACTTGTCAGTTAGAGTGGCACCTAGTAAGCCCCTGCCTTAAGTCCATCTCTTAGTAATTTATCAGAAATAATCATATGTCCTCTTCCTCTCCTTCCTACTCTTTCTTTTTTGTTCTTTTTCTTGCTGTTCTTCTTGGGTTAAAAATGCTATAGCTACTTTTTTTTTTGCCTACGTTTTAAAAATTATAGCTCTTGAAGGCTTTCATTTATCATGGTGAATAACTATGGTATGGTCATTGCCCCAAAGATAACTCTTATTTGCCAGCAATGCAATGTATGTGTGTCTGATATGTATATATATGTGTGTGTGTTTGTGTGTCTACACATGTACATGTGTGTATATGTATTTATTCTAAAAAAAAACTTCTCTGCTTGCAGTCAATAATATGTTCATTTTACCAGCATATACACTCAATGCATTCATGACAGTCAAAAAATGCAGAAATGCCTACAGAGGATATGAATATATTGAATTTCCTAACTTTACTGTTTCTCAAACTATGTCCTAACTAGATGGTGTAATCTAATTGTATGAACCTGGAAATATATAGGATTTTATTTTAATGCTAAAAAGGTCAGTAGCTTTGGAACTTAAAATCTTTCCTGTCTTCTTTTCTTTCCTGGAAGCTCATCATCAAAGGATTACAAGATATCTTTAATGAAAAGTAGAATTTTATAAACTTAAATTTAGTTATTCATCTTTCATATATAAAATTCTTTTGATGAATACTCTAAATATATGGCAAAGCAATATATACTTTATTGAATGAGAAGTGAAATTTATAGTAATATACTTTGTGTGGATGTAAGATTTCTTTTGAGGCAATTTCTTGAACTGTAACTATTATTGTACATTATATCTTTTTATCACTTCCAACATTATTTCAATATTTTATTGCTTTACTTCAACTTGAAAATGTTTCAGTTTCCTGAATAGTATTCTGCTAGCTTCAGAATGAAAGCCTGTTATTTTCTGATTTTGCTTGGATTTTTGGAATGTTGTTATCAGATGCATTTTAATTAAAAATTTAAAATTATCCACTGTATTCAGAGCTCTATGCTGACGATTTAAGGGAAGATTTTTTTTTTCAAAATGAATTTTTACCTTTATTTATCTTCTAACTTGAGAATTTAGATTTATTCTAATAAAATAAATGCAACTGATTAAAAATAGCATATCAATGAGTTTAAAACAAAGAAGTAAGATAGGTAATTGATTCTATTAGGATTTGGAACCAAATGAGCAGTTAGTAAAGGAAAGGTTTACACTAAGAGTTATAAAGGACCTCTTTTTTTTTTTTTTGGATGAGAGGAAAAGGCTCAGAGGAGAGTCACAGCATGCTTAAGGTAATTCAGTAGTTAATGCTAGATTCGGTAATACAACTCAAGTCTTTTGACTCCTAGTTCACTGTCAGATTTCCTAGGAGTCTTTGTGTGAAATGGACATATATTTCAATGTTGGGCCAAGGTATATAAGATTACTCACAATGTGATCATATGAAAGTGACTGGCCAATGCACTTTTAGTTCTGAGGAGGAAGAAATTTGAAATTTCTTTAATATAGATAGGCTTGTTTAGCACTTCCGTTATAGGAGAGATTCAGCAATAATAATGCCACTATTATAATGCCATTTCTGTAATAATAGCACTTCTGATACAAAACACCATTATTATAAAAATGCTATTATAAGAAACGCTGTTATTTAGAATTGCTTCAACAATAAAAGTGCTAAAAAAGTCTTGTATTATAGAAAATTATTGTGAATTTTTCTTGCTTTGCAATGAAATTTTCATTCCAAATCTTATTTGATTCTCCTGTGAAATGGCTCTCAGATTTTATTCTGATGACTCTGAGGCCTGGGCCAGATTGCCGTATAGAACAGGAAATTTCTTGACAGCCAAAGTCAGCTTGGTCAAATAAGTCGACTTCCTATCCATCAGTTTCCACAAGGTGAAGTAAACCTTCCTTCATAGCTTTATTCATTTTCAGATCCTATATTCCTTTATTGTCTTTCTAAAAATACTATGTACTACCTTTTAATAGAAGGTTGAGACAATTTAATTTTACTGAAGTTAGGTAGTCACAGTCTTGCTTTCACATTATGTCTGTTAAACTAAACTAAAACACATAGTGTAATTGATTAGAACAAAATAAATTTAGGTTTAAATTATACCTCATTTATAATTTACATAATGGGCAGGGTAAAATTCAATGAGCTACATGTTGTGAATTTAAGTATAAATGAAGAGAAATGGGGATTTATAAGCATAGAGACGCATTTAAAAATATTATCTCTCTTCTTAGAGTATTGGAACACTGTGTTACTGTTTGAATTAAGTTAGGGCTATCCTTTTTAGAAAATCATTTATAAGTCTTAGTAAAGACAAACTAGAGTTATCTTACAATCAATATTACATCACATAAAATTATAGGCCTGCAGGTTTTAAGGTAACTTAATGATTATGCAAGTGGTTTCTATACATTTTTAAACACCAGAAAACTCATTTTAGATATAAAATTTTATTCAGAATCTACAGCATTTAAACAGATAAAATGACATTTTACCAGCCTAAAATATCATAAATGTTCAGATTTACAATGATTTTCTTATTATAAAATCAGTCAGTGAGTCTAATACCACCTGATGATCACACATGTGAAACTGAAGAGTATATGTGTTGGTTACTGTCCTCTGGCTGCCTCAATGTATAATTTAGTTCTACATCATGACTTGGTTTTAAAGCAAGGGGAATATCCTGAGTCACACAGATAAGGAGATGCAAATGATAACTGTCCTTTAAAGGAGTGCCTCACAATGTCTTTATTCTCTTTAGTGAACAGATACATAAGCTTGAAACAGTAGCGAGAGGGAATTTTGGGTTCAAGATTAAATTGGTAACTGTAACTAAAAACAGATCTCATTCTTTACCCAGTCAAAGCACCAAGAACTCCAAATAAGCACTAAAATAAGCTCTATGTTTTCAGGACACGATTTATTGTATGTTCCCTTGTTATTGTGCAACTATGGCTGTCAGAGAGCACGTGCTGCAGCGATACACCATGGCGGTTCTAGCAGTTAGCCGAATGTGTGGCACCTACTTACTGGGGAAAACACCTGCCAGAATATCACCCAAATGGGATGGCTGGTGGCACAGAAAAACACACTGGTATATGGAAAATATTTATATTTAACGCATTTCAGTGTGTTTATAAAGCCAAAATTGTGAAAACAGATGAACAAGTATTTTCTTTTTTCTTTTTTTTTTTTTTTGGAGACAGAGTCTCCCTCTGTCACCCAGGATGGAGTGCAATGGCGCCATCTCGGCTCACTGCAAGCTGCGCCTCCTGGGTTCACTCCATTCTCCCACCTCAGCCTCCCAAGTAGCTGGGACTACAGGCGCCTGCCACCATGCCCTGCTAATTTTGATTTTGTATTTTTAGTAGAGACAGGGTTTCACCGTGTTAGCCAGGATGGTCTCGATCTCCTGACCTCGATCTCTTGATCCGCCTGCCTCGGCCTCCCAACGTGCCGGGATGGGATTACAGGCGTAAGCCACCATGCCTGGCCTGAACAAGTATTTTCAAAATTAAATTATATTCATATGTATGAGGAAATCCCTCAGGCACCAAGTTCCTTAGAAAAGTTTTTTTTTTAAAAAACCACTGGCCAAATCCAATGAGCCGTTCAATTTTTGAAACCCATCTGTAACAGTTGCACTAAATAGTTATTCAGCACCCACACACATATATTCAAGGAGGAGTATCCTCTTGCGTCCTGGGGCAGTCCATTTTGTCCATTGGCAACTCTCCCTATGGAAAAATCCTTCCTTACAGTGAGCTAAAATATGTTTTTCTGAAACTTCTACCATGTTCCAAGTTCTAATTCCTTGTGACCATAGTATACAAATCCACATTGTGTCCTTATGATATCTTTAGATATTAGATGAGTCTTACTTATGTTTGATTTTCTCCATCTGACAGACCAATATCCTCAGTACCTTCTGTTGTTCTTCACATAACTTGGTTTGGTTGCCCTTCATTATCTTGTTTCCTTTCTTCCAAATGAGTTCCATAAGCCTTTCTGCCTTTTAAGAAAGGGTATTTGGGCCTAAATATAGATCTGGACATGGTTTGACTTCACAGAGAATAGTGACTAATTATCATCCTTTTCCTATATGAAAAAAATTCAGTTTTATTGAGCTAAGATTCCATTAATTACGGTATTTACTCAGTTTGATCTTATTGCCATCAAATATTCACAGGTTTTAAATTTCTCAATTATACATATATTTTGATAATTTATGCTATTTTAGGCATTTGGTTTGAAGAACTGGAAAGAATAATTTTAGATTTAAGACAAATACCTATAACTTTGACTTATTCCATTCTTGCTCTCACTTAAATCATCCATTATATTTCTTTATGTAGTCTTGTGATCTGAAAATGTCATAAAAATTCTTTATGTTTATCCAAGTAAGGAATGAAGAAGAATGGTTAAAAATCTCTAATGAGGATTCTTTGGTAGTCAGTATTTCTCAAATTTAGGTACACTTTGTCTACCATATTTCTCAAATGTTTCAGTCAGTGAGTTTATTATTATTTTTAAAATTATACTTACTAAATGCATGTTGTTATTTCTCTAAAATATTTACAAACCATCATTTCTTCCTGGAATTGTGCTTGAGGTTGATGTTAAACTCACCATTCTTTTGTTTGTAGAATCTCTTGGCCTCTTTTTTTCCCCCTGTTGGAACACTTCAACAACAGTTTTAGTTTTTTTGTAATAATGAAATTAAAAAATTGGTGAGTGGTAAATTTGAGTAGATCTAGGAAAAAGTCTTACTCTAGTGTCCACCAAGACAACTCAGAGGGTATGCCTTAGTGAATTTACCAAAATCTAGATTCGGTTGTTTAGCTTTGAGCATCCTGTGAATGGGTCTGTTTCTCAGGGGTACACTTCCTTTAACAAGTCTTACTGGAGAGAGATGTACAAACTGAACTATCATCTTGTCAATTTATAATGATGCTTCCCTTTCGTGGAGACTGGTGTCCTGCATATAGATTTACAGAACATTACATTTTACTTAGAAGATTAGCTTGGTATATATGAAATTAAACCAAGCATTTAATGGCAGAAGGCAGCTGCAACAATCTCCTCAAGCTGGACACCTTAGTTTAGGAATGAATTATTCAAGTCCGTGAACCAGAAAACTTTTTCCTGTGTTTTAGAATCAGACTGTGATTTTCTGTGTTCAGACATACCAAGCATCTTTGAATCAACAAGTCTTTTTTGGGATATATTCATTAATTCAGTCAAGACTTGCTGTTGCCTGGGAGCCTTTCCTTTTCTTTAAGATGACTTTGTATATCTCTGATTCATTTTATTGTATGCCAACTTTAGAAATCTGAAGGATAGCTTATTTCTCATTTCCAACTAGAAGAAACAGCAGACCTCTATAACTTGGTGGCTCACATCTGAATTCAGCATAGGCAGAATTTTGTCATCTGATCTATTTTTTTTGTACTTTTTCAATATGATGACAATATTTACATAAAAATTGTGGATTTTTTTACTGCTCTTGAAAAATTATAAGATCTGTTAATTAATTCCCACATTCCCTCATGTTGACAATTAACTGAAATGGACTAGTGCTGCTTATTCTAGACAGAGCCTGTGTTCTCAGTTTACCACATTCCCTGCTTGCCCGCCTCCCTCATTTACACTACTCGTCTGCCCCTAGAGGCATTTGAGTTTGAGAAACTTGAACACTCTCTTGGTAGACAGTTCTACTTCCTTCCCCATTGCTTCCAAGAACATTCTCCAGCTTTTGACCATTTTCTTTTTTTTTTTTTTTTCAATGAAAAATTTTTCCATTTATTTAGATTTTCTTTAATTTTTTTTTTTTATTATACTCTAAGTTTTAGGGTACATGTGCACATTGTGCAGGTTAGTTACATATGTATACATGTGCCATGCTGGTGCACTGCACCCACTAACGTGTCATCTAGCATTAGGTATATCTCCCAATGCTATCCCTCCCCCCTCCCCCGACCCCACCACAGTCCCCAGAGTGTGATATTCCCCTTCCTGTGTCCATGTGATCTCATTGTTCAATTCCCACCTATGAGTGAGAATATGCTTAAATATTGCCAGCTGTGGTTCAATAATTTCACTTGCAAGTTCTATTAGTGCCCGAGATGTTATATGTCAGGGTAAAGATATTATAAATCACTGGGAATAGTTAGATACATTTTTACTATCTCTTTAATCATTTTTTTCCTTTGCCTTTTTTATCCACTAACATTATGTTTCCAATATCAAGAAGTATGTCTATTTCCTCATTTACTCATGTTACCTAAGTCAATGTTCCATAATAATAGTGAGCTGTTTATCTCAATGCAAAAATTTGCTATTATAAGTAATCCAGTATAATAGTTTTACACAGTGTTCTGCGTAAACTTGTTGATTATATATATTTTATATATATTTATATAAGTTTATATTGTATGACTAAAATATAAGGAGAAATATGACAACATTTCTAGAAACTGTACGTTACAAGAAATAAAAACAAAATACAGATTTAAGAAAACTCTCTTTTGACCAAAGGAGGAAAAGGAATAAAATAAACAGAGCAGATATATTTAGGAGTTTTGGGCTGTGATTTTGTAAGGCTAGAGAAATGGCAAACACTGCATGTTCTCACTCATAGGTGGAAATTGAACAATGAGAACACTTGGACACAGGGCGGGGAACATCACACACCTGGGCCTGTCGGGGGGAAGGGGAGCTGGGGGAAGGATAGCATTAGGAGATATACCTAATGTAAATGACGATTTGATGGGTACAACAAACCAACATGGTACAAGTATACCTATGTAACAAACCTGCACATTGTGCACATGTACCCTAGAACTTAAAGTATAATAATAAAAAAAGAGAAATGAATATGGAGAGATACACTATAGTTTAGTATAAAGATGGGATTGGCTCTTAATGAGCTGAATGCTGGCTGGTCTACCTGTAGTCATGAATGCTTGGGCAATAGGCTTATGTATTGAGCCTCAGTTTCCTCCAATAAAATTAAGAAATGAAGGGTCTTGTGCTTATTTTTGAAATCTCCTGTCTTTAGCAGGTTTTGGGATTCCAGAGAAAATGGAATGTGAGTGAATTCAGCTTTGTACTCTCTGTGCCTATCAGGTGTTTACCCTTAATTTTCAAGACATCTTTTTTTTTTTAAGAAAAGGTTTTTTTTAAAATTTTTAATTTTTGTGGGTGCACAGTATGTGTTCACATTTATGAGTTACATGAGATATTTTGGTACAGATATGTAATGCATAATAATCACATCAGGGTAAATGGGGTATCCATCACCTCAAATATTTACCCTTTGTGTTTCAAGTAATTCAACTATTCTCTTTTAGTTATTTTAAAATGTACAATTAAATTATTTGCTAAAATAGTTACCCCATTTTGCTAGCAAATACTAGGTCTTATTCACCCTAACAATTTATTTGTACCCATTAACCATCCCTACCCCCTTGCGCATCCCCTCTACCCATTACCCTTCCCAGCCTCTAGTAACCATCCTTTTACTCTCTATCTCCATGAGTTCAATTGTTTTAATTTTTAGCTGTCACAAATAAGTGAGACCATGCAATGTTTGTTTTTCTGTGGTGGGCTTATTTCATGTAGCATAATGACCTCCAGTTCCATCCATGTTATTGCAAATGACGGGATCTCATTCATTTTTTTGGCTGAATAGTACTCCATTGTGTATATATACTACATTTTCTTTATCCTTTCATCTGTTGATGGACACTTAGGTTGATTCAGTCTTGGCTATTGTGAATAGTGCTGCAATAAACATGGAAGTGAAGTTATCTCTTTGATATACTGATTTCCTTTCTTTTGGGTATATACCTTGGAATGGAGTTGCTGGATTATATGGTAGCTCTATTTTTAGTTTTTTGAGGAACTTCCAAACTGTTCTCCATAGTGGTTGTACTAATTTACATTCCCACCAACAGTATATAAAGGTTCCTTTTTCTCCACATCCTTGTCACCATTTGTCACTGCCTGGCTTTGGATAAAAACCATTTTAACTGGAGTGAGATAATGTCTCATAGTTTTGATCTACATTTCTTTGATGACCAGTGATGTTGAGCACCTTTTCATATACCTGTTTGCCATTTGTATGTCTTCTTTTGAGAAATACCTATTCAGATTTTTTTGCCAATTTAAAAAATTAGATTATCAAAATTTTTTCATTAGAGTTGTTTGAGCTTCTTATATATTCTGATTAGGAATCCCTTTTCAGATGAGTAGTTAGCAAATATTTTCTCCCATTCTGTGGGTTGTCTCTTCACTTTGTTGATTATATCCTTTTCTGTGCAGAAGTTTTTTAGCTTGATGTGATCTAATCTGTCCATTTTTGCTTTGGTTGCCTGTGCTTGTGGGATATTACTTAAGAAGTCTTTGCCCAGACCGATGTCTTGGAGAGTTTCCCCAATGTTTTTTTTTTTTTTTTTTAAGTGGTTTCATAGTTTGAGGTCTTAGCTTTAAGCCTTTAATCCATTTTAATCCGTTTTGGTTTGGTTTCTTTATATGATGAGACATAGGGGTCTATTTTCATTCTTCTGCCTTTGGATACCCAGTTTTCCCAGCACCATTTATTGAAGAGACTGTCCTTTCCTCAATGTATGTTCTTGGCACCTTTGTCAAAAATGAGCTCACCATAAATGTATGGATTTATTTCTGGGATCTCTATTCAGTTCCACTGGTTTATGTGTTTGTTTTTATGCCATTACCATGTCGTTTCAAATACCATAGCTCTGTAGTAAAATTTGAAGTGAGAGAATGTGATTCCTCCAGTTTTGTTCTTTCTGCTTAAGATAGTTTTGTCTAGTCTGGGTATTTTGTGGTTCCATATAAATTTTAGGATTTTTTTTTCTATTTCTGTGAAGAATGTCATTGATATTTAGATAGAGATTTCATGAAATCTGTAGATTGCTTTGGGTAGTATGGACATTTTAACAATATTGATTCTTCCAATCCTTGAACATGGCATATCTTTTCATATTTTTGTGTGTCCTCTTCTATTTCTCAAAGCATCTTTCTTAATACTTATGGTTATATATTATAGATTTTGCTTGTGTATTTAAAATAGCTTCTTTTGTTGGTTTCTTATTGCTAACACGTGTAATGAAATCTCACAACTTCCTTTTGTTTGTAGGCTATCACAAACCATAAGCACAGAGATATAGATACCACCTATTTTGTTTCAATTTTGATGAAGTTAGTCTTAGGAAGTTGAGGAAATTCAGCTTTGGTCCTGAAAATCTAATCTGCAGAATGGTTATGTATTAATAACACCCTAGCAAAGAAATTCTGTTAAACAATGTCGAATGTGATAGACTTTTAATGGCAGCTTAAACATAGAATGGTAAATGCAGAAAATAACTAATCACTGTGATACTTTTTCAGTAATACGGTTTTGCTGAATTTTCTCCACAAGGACTGCAACTGTGGATTTGTATGTGAGTGGATTTACTTTTGAGCATTATAGAAGATAGACCTGTGTTGACTTTCTTATCTGCTGGTACTTCACCCTGCTTGTAGCCTCCAGCCCATGAAACATTTCTCTTAAATCAAGGTTAAAAAATAACTATTTTAGTTCTGAAAATGATAGCTATTTTTGATCTTATAAACCTTGATTCAAAACCTGAATATAGTACTTATAAACTTTCCAAAGTTGAATAAATGATTTAATTCTCTTGACCTCAGTTTAATCATCTGTGAGATAAGAAAAATAGTATTTACCCCAGAGAATTCTGTGTGAATTAAATGAAATTATAATTATTGTCAATTACAAGGTATTCTGTATTAGTTTTTTTTCTTGCCTTCCTCCCTCCATCTTGTCCTCCCTCCCTCTCTCCTCCTTTCTCTTTCTTCTTTGCTTTCTTTGTTTTCTTTCTCTGTCACTCATTTTTTCTTTTCCTCCTTCTTCTAATATATAATTCTCCAATCCAAAAATGTTTTCATAGTTACAATTTTGTATTTGATGATTATTTATATTATGTGCATTAAAAAATTCAACCCAACATTTATTGAACACTTCCTCTGTGCGAGTCACATTGATAGATATTAGGATTCAGAGATGAAATGAAGACAGTGTTCCTGCTTTCAAAGTGATAAAAACTGAAATATAAATTAACTAACAGTTACAATACAGTGTGACATGACCTGTTTTGAGCAGGAAGTGCTATGATATACATAGGCATCCAGGTCAGCCTGGATGGTCAGGGAGGCCTTTTTTTTTTTTTTTTTTTTTGAGACGGAGTCTTGTTCTGTTGTCAGAGAGGCCATTTGTAGGGGAATGCACCTCATCTGTTAGCTGGGAGAAGGAATGATCTAGGTAGATCAAGAAGGAAATCAGGCTGAGCCCAAGAGGGCCTAGCATGTTTAGGTACCTGAGAAGGTTAGTGTGGTTCTAACACAGGATGGGAAGGACCACGAAAGGAGCAACAAATAGGATAGTGTAAGTAGAGATGAGATGATAAAGGCCTTTGTATGCTATGTTTAGAGGTTATACCATGTTTTTCTATCTGTTCTTCATCTTTTAAAATTTTGATTGGCTCTATAATACATATATTATTCATGTGCTCTTTTGCCTGTCTCTTCTTTTCTCTAGATGATAATCTCTATAATGGTGATTCTCAAATTTGGCTACACATTAGGATCACCCATGGGAGGGGTTAAAGAAATTATGAAGCCTCAGCTCACCCCTACAGATTCTGATTAAATTGTTATGGTGGTCTGGGTAGGGCAATGTGATGTCTTTGATTGACAGTGACTGCTGCCTCAGGCAGTTTCACTATTCTTTTTGGACAGTTGAGTGTTCTTGCAGGGGTTTCCTCATTCATTCTTTCTTTTGTAACTGCTGTTGTCCATAAGTTGCTTGAGAGAACTAACAAAATCGTGTCTCATGTAACAAAGTTCCAACAAAATTTGGACCTACAACGATGAAAATAAGATTAGGAAGTCAAGACTAGTGGGGAAGAGTGAGGGTCCTCACAAGCAAAAGTTAAAAGTAAGAAAGGGTGAGTAAAATACTTGTTAATGTAAGTTTCTGAGAAAACAAACTTCTCCTTATGATTTAGCATTAGCAGACATTTGTGATCTGGGAACTGCTTTAGACAATGAATACTACGGTGGACATCTATATGCATAGACCTTTTCATGGTTTTTTTGAGTAGTATTTCCAGCAGAATTACTAGGCCTTGCAATTCTTTCTAAAAGGTTGTACTGATATACAATTGCTACCAGCAATGTAAAAGGACCCACTCCAACCCTAACAATGAAGCAGCATGCTAACTGTGCATTTTCTCATGGTCTCAGAGTACTGTGAAAACAACATTATACACAACAGGCCAGTTACAAAGGCTATCTTGGGGTAAAAGAGAAATGGAGAGTGAGTTGTGTGTGTGTGTTGTGGCATTCCCTCTCTCATTCCTCATGGAGTAGCAGAAGGGATATTTCTCCCCCTCCAGCAAAGCTGGAGAAGCTTTAAGAAATCTACTTTGAGAGGGGAAGTGTCTTATGTCCCCTGAAATTTAAGGGAAACAGGAACTGCTACCCAACCCAGGCCTGAGCAGTCCCAAAGTGACAGCTTGGCTGGTTAGATCCTGTGAATGTAGAAGAACTAGCTGAATTACCCACAGGGGGAGCTAAGATGCTTGAGTTTTCCAGCAGACCAAATGAACTGGATGAAGGGAAGCCAACTGTATTATCTTGAAAGAGATTCTGCTCTGGAAGATTCACCTTCAGGAGAAACAAGTCTTCTGGGTTGGGGGAAACTTTCCAATAGATAGAATATCCATACTGTGAAGCCTCAGAAGGTAGGGGACTGAGGAAGTTTGTCTTAAAAGCCAGCATAAGATGACATCCTCTGCTTTCAATGAACCAAGAAGTTTCCCAAAATGCCCTGGGAAAAAAACAAGCAGTCCTGATGTCAGAGACAGCTCATTAGCCATAGTACACTGTCCCTTTCTCTTAATTTACTCCTGCAGACCCAACTCTAGAGGGACCAAAATAGCAGCTAGAGAGTAGTTACAAAGAGGTGGAGTGAAGAAAATGTGAAGAAGCTGCTTATATTCTTTTCCTTCCTGTGGGTTTCTGAGTCCAGGGCAGGCCAAAACTGGAGGAGGGAAGAAGAATGTCATTAGCTGATGATCTGTAGTTTTGATATTAGACTGAATCGAACTTTTACTTTCTGCAAGTGACTGCAAATAGCTTTGAAATCTGATCAATCAGGAAAAGTGGTGGGAAATAATAAATTAATTGTTACCTGCTTGTGACTGATCCAGTAAAGTCTCAGTAAATACAACCATTACAACTTCAGAATATTTTCTCCTACACGTGCTTTTTATCTGAGTTACTGATTTTCATTGATTGGGAGTTCTAAGTGAATGTATATTAAAATCTGTTGATCTTTTCCTTCATTATTTTTTCTTTGCTTCAAATCTGAGAAAGTTATTCTTTCGTAGATCTGATATTCTATTCTCTTTTCTATTCACTTTTCATCAATGTATAAAAAACATTTAACAACTCTCTGAAGTTTACTTTGGCATGTAGTAAAATGTTCATTTAATTTAAATTATCCCAGATTACTATCTATAGCTGAAAATTGGCAATTTTTTATTCATTCACATTGTCCTTCTATATGTGAGTCTTACTGTTTTTTAAGGCCCACATACTTGGGACCTATTTATGTTTGATAAATTTGAAACATACTTAGAGATTTATCTTATTCTTGAGTCAGGCTGAAAGTGGCAGGAGGAGTGGGTTGTAGCTGGTGGGAGTGAGCTTAGCGTATTCTGAGCAGCATTTGGCTCAACTGACCACTCCTTCCTTTTAAAAATTGGGCCGATTCTTGCAAGAAGCCACAAAAGAGTTACTCTCTTCATTTTCTTCTACCTCTTTTCCCTTGTGTTTGCCTAGTTTTTTCCACTTCTATCACTACATGTGGGAATTCCTCTGGATTTGATTTTGAATCTGTGTTCCTTTTCTATGCTTTCTTCCCAGGAAACGCAACCACTAATAATTTAAAATATATATTGATGGCACAGTAAGATTAAGTCTTCCAGCCAGGCCCGGTGGCTCAAGCCTGTAATCCTAGCACTGTGGGAGACCGAGGCGGGCGGATCACGAGGTCAGGAGATTGAGACCATCCTAGCTAACACGGTGAAACCCTGTCTCTACTAAAAATACAAAAAAAATTAGCCGAGCGTGGTGGCGGGCGCCTGTAGTCCCAGCTACTCAGGAGGCTGAGGCAGGAGAATGGCGTGAACCTGGGAGGCAAAGGTCTCAGTGAGCCAAGATCGCGCCACTGCACTCCAGCCTGGGTGACAGAGCAAGACTCTGTCTCAAATAAAAAAAAAAAAAAAGATTAAGTCTTCCATCCTTACAGCTTCTCCATGCTCTAGATTCCTATGTCCAGTTGTCCCTCATTGTAGTAAATGACTAAAGTCATCTAACAAGTTGCTAACTCATCCTTGAATTTTTTCTTTACATTTTCTTCCCGCATTCAATCTATTTTTAAAAAGCAGTAAATCCCAGTGCAAAAATACTTCTATATATTTTCTCTGCATGTCTATTTTCACTGCTGTATTCCAAGCTGTTAATTTCTCCAGGCAATTTATAATATCCTAAAAGGCTTCAGGGCTCCCCTAGCTGTCTTATAGTACTCTATTCCTATTTTGATGGCATGTAACACAATCTGTTATTTTTTAATGTGTTTGTCTATTAACTTCCTGTTTCATTAGACTGTAAACTTACAAGGGCAGGAAACATATCTGACTTATTCTTCCCCATCCCCCAAGTGCCTAGCATGTTACTCGGTATATATTAGACTCCTTATAAGGAGAAGATAATTTCATTTAAAAATCATGCTATATTGAATTAATTTTCCTTTTCCATACATTTTTATAATTTTATCATCGGTAAAATTTTTCAATTCCTTGGGACAATTTTCTTAATCGGTATATGGAGAAGAAATCCAAAAGATCCTTTACGCAATTTTTGCTCCTATTATTTCCAAATTATTTAATTAGGTATTGATTTAGTACTTAAAAAGAAACTATTTTATTTTATCTCTCATTATTTTATTGATTATATATTTGTATGTGTTCTACCTCCCTCCAACATGTTTTAAAACCAGAGATTTCTTATTGGTATGTAAGTTTTCTTAAGATATGAAAATCCACATACATTATGTTATCTAATTTGTTGATTAAAGAAAACTAAAATAATTTTGTTGGTCCTCTAACCAAAATTTTTTATAGTTTTTTTTCTTGGCAGGATTTATGCTGTTTTGATAAAAAGTTTCATTGGTTGGCTTCTTTTTTTTTTTTACATATTAACATTTTGTGGGCCTATTTTATTCTCTAGGCTAGAGTATTTTTTCCCCTTTTCTTTCTTTTGCTTTTTTCTGATGTTATTTTTCAGTTGGTTCTTATCACTATTTCTATTGGATACCATCTGTTGTTTTGGTGACATGTTGAAAACTTTCCTAAGGATTCCTGATTTAAACTTCTTTTTCTTTCTGATGCTATATGTGGCTATAAGACAAAATGAACTTTGCAACTAATGCTATGTTTGACAATAGTTGTAATTCTTGCATTTTTCTCTACTCATTCTCTCTGTTTTATTTTCCTTGGTTAACTGGTACATTTTGAAATATTTCTTATGACTTACAATGCATCTTAAAAATTGGCTTTTAATAAAATCATTACACATGGACTACAATTGGTTTCATAAATTTGTCATTCATTCAATAATATTTATTGTTCATTTACTACACATCAGACAATGTTGTTAACATAAATGTTGTTCATATTGGCATCAGCTCATGGGGATATCATTTTAATTTAAACTTTTAAAATATTTTCACCAGTTTTATTAAGTTAAAATAACTGTAATTAACTTAATGAACAGTATTCATTTCTATTAGAATTTCAGTGTTCTAATAGCTCTTCTTTTCCACCACTGAGCACTGACTGACTGACCTGTCTTTTATAGATACAGATTTTCAGTTGATAGTTCTCAGTTAACAATAATTGCTGAGCCCTTATTATGTGCTCTATGTGGAGTAAAAAGCAGTTATAACTCCTCCCTCATAAAAACCAATTTGTAAGAGATAAGGTTCCAGTAAACAAATAAATATGCGATTACAAATTGTGATAAATGCCTTGGAGAAAATAAATAATGTGTATTGAAAGAAAATAATAGGAAAAATTACTTTTGTTGATCTAACTCCATATATTCAATTAAACCTGTTGCCTGAATTATTGACACACATTTTCCCATTGTCTACTATATATTTCCATTGTGTGTCGACATATGATACCTCAAACCTAACATCTTCTCTCTCTCTCCTTTCCCTTCCTCCTTATTCATATAGTTTATTGAAGCCAACTTTCTGCCAAAAAATTTAGTAGGCACTTTACAGATAAATTTTAATTGTAGGTTATTTATTCGTATTATCATGCCCATTTACTGATAGAAGAATCGAGTCTCATAAAATTGAGTCTCATGAACTAACTTTCTCTTGGTCAATCAGTAACAAATTTTCAAGCAGGAGTGCTGACTTGGGTCTCCTGATTAGAAAGTTCAGATTCTGTCTGCAATTATACCAGCTTCACAGCATTTATTGTGTACCAACTCTGTGCTAAGAAGATTGCATTTCTTTATGTAATCATTACAACCCCATGAGATAAATGCTATCTTCATCTTACATAAAATACTCAGAAATGTTAAATTACTCTCCATTGTCACATAGATGGTAAGAAACGGAGGTGGGATACGAGTCCAGATCCACTCCAGGAAAGCCCATGCTTTTTCCTGTTCACTGCATACTTCTATGATATAGAGTACTGTTTATTCCTTATCTTGCTCAATAAGGCCTTGAGGCCATAGATGAAGTATTTTTTATGACTGTATATGAAGAGCGCTCATTAATTGTCTATTAAAGATTGCATAGGTAGTTTAATAAGTTGAGTGCTTCAAATTGTATAAAATTTGCCCAAAATGATTTTATTTTTTATGGCACTAATAAGGTACCATATCCTTATTTACAGGCCATAATGTTTAAAACAATCTAACTTAGCCAGGCTTTTCACCCTGTAGATGCTGACATTCTGTCAAGTGAATACCAGCTTCCTCATCTATTTGGCAGATATGTGAATATTTATTAGGTGTCTGGCACAATACTAGGCACTGTGAATACAATATAGGGAGAAACCTACGTGGGTCTTGCCTCATGGACAGCCTAGTGATGGAGACACAATAACCAAATAATAACACTGATAAATATAGAATTATAAACTAAGATAAATGCTACAGAAAATGGGAATTCTGTGCTAAGAAAATTTATCCATCATGAAGAGGCAGGCCTAATCTGGGTGGGAAAGGTGAGTGGAGAGGATCTATCAGGAAAGCCTCCCTGAGGATTTATAGGTTGTTACTTATGTTTACAGTATTTAGGGAGAAGTGTAGATACAGTACAACACTAGAAAGTTATGAATTGTTGTTTATGTACACTTGAATCCAGCAGATAGTACAAAACATATTTTTTCTCTTCTCATTAAGTCACTTATCAGTCCACGCAGATGCCTCCTCTAATTGTCATGTAAGAGATCCTTTCTCTCTTTATCTCTTATTTTCATTTCCCTCAGGGTGACCTTGGGAGCCTTCTATCTATATGTCCTCTTGCCAGTGTCTTAGACCTGTCCTACAATTTCTGTGTGGCTATGGAGATAACTTTAAGGGTGAATAGAAAATAATAATTCCATCTAACTGGAGCAGAACAAATAATCTTCTTGTGGTGAGAGAGAAAGGGAGAACAGTGCACTGAGGAAACCAGAAAGGAGAGTGAGGGGTAGCTATTATGGCTGGATCACAGAGAGAAAGTGATTTGAAAAGAGGTTGCAGGAAAGGTAAAGGTCAGATACTGATTTGAACTTAAGATTCAGCAAGTGCCTCAAGGAGAAAAGAAGTGCAGAATGTTGGGCTCATTTCTTTGCAGTAATCCCCTTCTTCAGGATCTCAGACCGTTAAGTCCTGGCTGCTTTGGTATTTCCATGTGGGGGTCTGTCCCGCAGACCTTGACCCAATGATGGATGAATAATGTACACTGACACAGACATTTTGCCTCTCAGTCTGGTTGAGGGTACGGGCCACTTGCAGACACCAAGGAGGGTGCTGTAAAGAGTTGCAACCACGGCCCTGACTCGCTGGCCCTGCTGGCATTTATTCAGCACACATTAAATGACAAAGGCTTTGAGTCAACACTATTAGAGGGTAATTAACCTGGTTGCCCTCCCACCAAGAGAGCCATCCTGCGCGCAAATGATGAAAGGTTAGTTTTAGGACCACATGAGTAAACAAGTTATTTAGATAAACTCCTCTACATTCCTCTGTATCTACATCCTGAGCTTTTAAGAGAATTCAGCTGCCTTCAGCCAAACATTTTACTGAAGCTATGCAAACCCCCAGGCCTTCCAAGAAGGTTTGTGTTTATTTCCTATAATTTTACAATTTTTCCCACCATCCTGACTGAACCCCCACATTTCCACACTCTAGTTTTTTGTTTCTGCACATCCTGGAGACTGAAGAAAGCTCTAGACCATTAGGATATCACTTGCTACTCTGCCTCTGTGGCCTGTGCTGCAAATCTGAAAATGTCTTAAGGGGAAAATAAGTAGAGAATGTCTGGCTCACCCAAATGCCCTCAAGTTCTAGTTGTTGTGATTACTTTTTTTTTCTTTTTTTGAGATGGAGTTTCACTCTTGTTGCACAGGCTGGAGTGCAATGGTGTGATCTTGGCTCACCACAACCTCTGCCTCCCGTGTTCAAGCAATTCTCCTGCCTCAGCCTCCTGAGTAGCTGGAATTATAGGCATGTCCCACCATGCCCGGCTAATTTTGTATTTTTAGTAGAGACAGGGTTTCTCTATGTTGGTCAGGCTGGTCTTGAACTCCCGACCTCAGGTGATCCACCCGCCTTGGCCTCCCAAAATGCTGGGATTACAGGTGTGAGCCACTGCACCCGGCCGTGATTACTTTTTAAATGCCATTTTAAAAAATTACCCCAAAGAAGCATTAATTAGACTGACATCTTGCTTGTCAACAGAAACACTGGAAGCCAGAAGCACATGCCATGGTATCTTTAACTTTGATACCAAAAACAGATAAATTCACTATGATATTTATAGTATAATTCATGGTATAATTTATCTTAAAGAAAATATTAGTACATTTTATCCAGCAGTATATAAAAAGTATGACACCAGGACTGAGTAGGATTTATTCCAGAAATTCAAGGTTGATTTAACATTTAAACATCAATTAATGTAATTAATTTAAAAATAAAGAGAAAAATCGCATGATAATCTCAGCAGAGTGAGCAAAACCATGTGATATGTCAACATCCATTTATGTATATATTCTTAGTTCTTAACCAGACATGAAATTAAAAAGCTTTACAGGAAAATTATACCTAATAGTGAAACGTTAGAATCCTTTTGTCTGAGATTAAGAGTGATACAAGAATACTGCTATCCTCACATCTATTCAATGTTGTAATGTACTTATAATAAGGAAAATAAATAGATAAATTAATAAAGGAAATAGGTTTTAAAAGAGTAAACATTTTATTGAATCTGATATGATTGGGTACAAATCAAATAAAAAATCTACAGAAATATTTTCAGGATTAATATGTAAATTTAACATGGTTGCTGAATATAAGAGTGAGTAACATAAGAAATCAATTGTATTCCTATATACCAGCAACAGTCAGGTAAAATACAATTTATAATATATTTTTCAGTAACATAAAAGTATTAAATGACTAGATACATATCTAACAAAACATGTAGAAGACCTATACAGAAACCATAAAATATTATTGATAGACACTAAAGAAGTCCTAAATAAATGGAGAATTGTAGCATGATTGAAAGATTCGATATTGTAAAATTATTAATTCCCCCCAAATTTATTTATGAATTCAATTCAAAATCCCAACAGATTTTTTTTTAAACTTGAAAGCTAGTAATAAAATCTACATAAAACTTCAGTGTCAAAATAGACAAGGCAATCTTGGTGAAGAAGAATGCAGGAAGACTTGCTCCACCAGATATTACATCTTACTATAAAGCTACAGGAATTAACACAGTGTGACAAAAATAGACAAATGGACCAGTGGAGCAGAACAGAGAGCCCAGAAACATATTGTTTTGATTATCTATATCTACATAAGAAACCATCCCAAAACTTAGTGGCTTAAACTCACAATCATTTGTTTTCCCTCATGATTCTGTAGACTTGGTAAGATGGTTCTTTTGCTTCATATGGTGTCAGCTGGAGCGGTAGTCTTTCTGTATCTTAATAGGTATGGAACTTTCTAGATGGCTTGTTCACATGTCTGCCATTTGGTTCTGGCTGTTGGCTGGGAGATTGTTAGATTTGTTGATGACAACACCTCAGATCTCCCTCATTTGTCTTCTCCATGTGGCTTGGACCTCTCATAAGATGACAGCTGGGTTCCCAGAGGGAGTGTTCCAAGCACACAAAAGCGGATACTAGCCATTTCTTAAGATTTAGTCTTGGAAGTCATGCAGCATCACTTTTGCCACATTCTGATGATCAACTAAGGTTGCAGAGTTAGCGCATATTCAAGAGGAGTGGAAATATATTCTGCCTCTCAATAGCAAGAGTGACAAAGGATTTGCTATCATCTTTAGACCACCACCCACAGCCATGCATATATGGGTACTAGACTAATGCAGAGGTGACACTGTGGGGAAAATTTTATCTTTTCAATTAAATGATACAGAGAGAACTGAATACTAATATGGAAAAAAGTGAAACTTGACCTTACATCAAACCCTAATAAAAAATAATTCCAGTTAGGGCTACACACTCAAATGTCAAGGCAAAAAAATAATGCTTTAAAAATGATATAGGAGAATGTCTTCATAATCTCGGGATAGGAAATGTTTTTTAAGCAGTACATAAAATGCATTAACTATAAAGGAAAATATTAATAAATTGGACTACTTTTTAGTTGTTGTCACCAGTGCCGATGTCACATTCCCTTGACTCATCTCTAATTTTAAACATAGCTAGTGGTTAGAGAGTTCTGTGCTGACTCAGACTCACCTCTGACAGCATCTCTCCTCAAGTTACATGGTTTATGTTCCATGGCTTAAATTTAGCAGCACCAGTGACTCTCTTGGCTAGTGTGAAAACACAGCCTTGGAGTGTGGGATTAAGACCCCTAAGCATAATCTCAAACAGCAAGGCGAGAAATGGGAAAAATGCTTCCATCTCCTGTCTTTCAGACAGACTGCGCTGAGAGGCATTCTGTACAATTCACAGGAGTTTCTGCCAGAATGAAGCCCTACTTCCAACAGTAATGTCAACAACAACCTTTATATTGGCTTTTATTTCTGCCTGAATTCTCCCTATTCCTTCATCTCTGTTTCATAGGATCATTTTCCGCTTAGACTACCTGTACACAGGTGTTTGTCTTGGTTTTTGGAGAGACTCAAACCAAAACAATATGAAAATTAAGAGTTCTGCTTATCAATCAATGTTCTTATTAAAGAGTGAAAAGATGGCTCACAGAGTGGAAGTATTTACTTCTAAACACTGTAACTGAAAAAATGCTTATATCCTAATTTTTTTTAAACCCTCTATAAGAAAAAAAATTACAATCCTTTAAAAAAATGGATGTCTTGTGAACAGGCCTTTTACCAAAGATATATAAAAATGGCCAATGAACAAAGGGGAAAGGTACTTAACTGCTAGTTCAAATTAAAGTATAGTAAGACGCCACTATACACCCATCAGAATGATGAACATTAAGAATCAGAATAATACCGTTAGCCATTCAAATTCTCCTATCTACCTAGTGGAAATATGAATTGAAACAACCAATTTGGTAAACTGAGATCATCTACCGAAGTTGAAGATATGCATACACTTTGACCTAGTAATTCCATTCCAGGATACAAACCTCTTAGAAATATTTGCACATGTGCCCGCATGTTGTTTGTAACAGTTAATAACTACAAAGGATCCAAATGTCCAATCATCCTACAATGATTGGAGAATATATATAGTGTAGTTAATACAATGAGATCTAATACAGCAACGAAAATGACAATCCTGGAGTGATATCCAACAACATTATATAATCTATGTAATGTATATTTAAACATACACAAAATAATATGCACTGCATACTTCCATATATAAGCATATATGGAACATAATACTGAGTTATGTTTAGTAATGAGTACATCTCGGTAAAAGTACAAAAAAAGCAGGATGTAATAATCATAAAATTAGAATGGTGGTTACAGAAGAACAAGAGTGGTGTGATTGGGAGTGGGCATACGGGAGAAGTCTAAGGTACTGATTTTTTTAATAAACTAAATATCAAGGTGAACAATTATGGAGAAATTCAAACATAAATAAAAGCAAATAAAACAATTTGATAAACTTCCATATGCTTACCACCCGTTTCAAAATGATCAATTTATGGCCTATCTTATTTCATCTCTACTATCCTATTACTCTTATACCCATAACATGGATCATTTTGGAGCAAAATCTCACACATCATATTATTTTATGGGTAAATATTTTTATGTATCTATAAAAGATAAGATATTAAAAACATGCATTCATAAAACCATTATCACATCCAGAAGCTTAATATTAATTTCATAACATCATTAGTTACCCAGTGTTCACTGGGTAAAATATCAGTGTTTACTGATATTCCCAATTATTTCAACAGTTGGTTTGTTCAAATCAGTATCCACAAAATGTATCACATCTTATATTTGGCTGCTATTCCTCTTGAGTGGGGTGACTGTGCATTCTAGATTGTCCAGAATCCCATTTTCAATAGCATCCCTTTTCTGTTTCTGAAATATCCTGTGTTGGGTGAAAATGTATATGGTTGCTCTATACTTAAGTCTCTTTTCATCTTTAAGCTCCCATTTCCTTCCTTTACCTTTTCTTTTACATTTTGTTTTTGTTATTAGAAGAAACTAGGCCTTTTGTCCTATGGTGTTTTTTACAGTCTTATTTGCTTATTACATCTCTCTGGTGTTGTTGAATATGTTCCTCTGTCTGCTGTATTTCTTGTAACTGGAAGTTAGAGTATTCTCCCCCTAGAGTTTGATGTATTTCAGATTCCATTTGGATCAGGAGTTGGGGGTCGAGGAGGGAATACTTCATAGATGATGTTGTTTACTTCTGTTAGAAAGAATGTAACATCCATTTGTCTCTCAGTAAGTTTAGCAGTCATTGATTATTATTATCTAGGTGTATTATTTCAAAAAGAATTTGCAAAATGCTGATATTAGTTCTGTCTCTTGATCTAGGAGGTATTTATATGGGTGTGGCTTTATAATACACTGTATTTCATTCAGCCATTTATGGAATTTTCTGCATATATGTTGTTTCATGAAATATATTAAACACACGTATATAACTACATATGTGTATGATGAATTAGTGAAAATATTTTAAAATTAAAGTTAGGAAATTAATACGTTTTGCATGTTAGGCAGAAATTATTGACTTACCAAAAGGAAATTTCCTCACTACTCTCAATACTAAAAGTAAGTTTTAAATAATGATGATTGATATGTCATCCCAATGTGGCCAATTGTTTAGGAAAGTGTCTAAGCTTGCTATGTTGAACTGATGTGAGAAATGTAGAAAAAGTAGAATGTGATAATGGTGAACAGGAAGAGGACATGTTGTGGCTTCATGACAGTTAAAGATTATAGTGTTTGATGAATAACTAAGAGATATGCCATTGTAAAAATGATAACTTGATTGGACTTTTGGATCTCAAAGAATTATAAATATTTATTCTATATGATGATTATAGACTGATTTATGTGTCTTATACACTGTATTCCAATTGATTCTAGATATCATCTCCTAGGAGAGATTAACCAAAGTAATACAGCTAGATTTAAAAATTTACAAAAGTTATAAAGTTCCTCCCTGACAGGAAAAATTGAATTTTTTTTTCTATTTCGTAGTGGGAGTGAAATTAAGAGTTGATAACTTTCTTGCTAAGGAGGTATTACTATCACAAAGAAAGTAAAACTACATTTTGAAACGTATTTCTCAGTGATGATAGGTAACTGAATTTAATTACTTCTGGGAAATGCAAAAGGAAAAAATTAACCTCATTGGCCCTTGGGAAAATCTGACATCGTATTCTGGAGGTCTCTGATTTAAATTCAGTTTATATTGCTTACTAGTGGCCAATAAACTCCAACAAGCTTCTTATATATTGATTGGTATTTATTGTAGATCTTTCAACTTGGTTAATAGTCTTTTTCTAAGCTATCATCTTGATGATGCATCTATTTCCCTAGTCTCACTCTACTTTGGTTTCTATTATTTGAAGCATCTTTTTCACTGGAGAGAATAGAGCATAGAAGTTGAAAAGACTGATATCTGAATACAGACTGCGTTGTAGCTATGTGACCTTGGACAAGTTTCTTAACCTCTTCTTGCCTTATTTTCTTTGCTTGTAGAATGATAATAATAGTATGTCTCATTTATCTGTAGTAGTGATTAAATACATAACACATCCACAGCAAATAATAGTTATCTCCCGTGTGCTTCAGCAGCTCGTTTACTTAGTCGTATATTAAAGATGTCACTGCCAGAACTATTCTATCATTTAGATCTTGAACCCTAAAAATATCTATTCTGATTACAACATTCTTGCCTTCTAAATGCAGTTTCTTTCATTCCCTCATGACTAAGATTCCCCTTTTTCTCTAGTTCCTTGAGCTATTCTTACATCCTAGTTCCAGTGGTTTCCAAATGTTTATACTTCATGGGCCAAAAAAAAAAAAAAAAAATCGAGAGACCAGTGAAGTATTATCAATTTATTGGCAAGTAAGAATGTTAAAATAACAAACACCATCACATGTTGAAGTTATGAAATTATTTGTGTTATTTTGAAAAACGTGTTATCTGATAAACTACATACTTCACTAGGTAGACTCATGAGGAATCTACCTTGATCACCTAGAATGTGCAGATCTAGTGCCTAAGGTATGATACTAACTTCAAGAAATACAGTATTTTTTAGAATGAGTAGGTTAAAAATCTCCAACATTTAATAAAGGTAACATATTTTAGCAAAAAATGAAAGTTGAAATTTGTAAATCAAATGTGTATGTGGAAAGTGTTCAGTGCCAAAAATAACAGCATTAAAACAATATGTTACTGTTTTGCTGATACAGGTTTTCAATTCATTAATTTGTATTCAGTAGTGAAATACAAAATGAAGCTCACATGTCCAAACTTTCCTGGTACTTTGTTCTTTAAACTGCAGTTAGTGCCAATACTCTAGATTCAGATAAGTGTGTTGGTGAAATTGTAAGCTACACTCCTAAGGCAACTTCAAAATTCAGAAAATTTTGGTCAGAGCCTGGCTGGGTCATGTCACTGTCTCAGACAGGCCAATCATTTTAAACCCAATTATGTATTTGTTTGACAACTATACAGTAGGATTGGGGCAGAGACTTAATTTCTCCTATTAAAATGTAAATGCCCCTTCATTTAATATCTTTATGTTAGTTATCTCATTGTACTCTTCTTTGAGTTCCCTTAAATTAAATTTCACTCACACATGAACTTAATGAATAAAGTAAAATTTAGGAAAATGAAAAGAAAGGGCATGGATTACACAGTGCATTTTTTCTAATTTAAGTAATATATTTCTTGGAAGTTCCCAATTCCTTTTCTCAGCCTCATAGGCATTAAAATCATTTCTTCTTGGTGTTCTCCATCATTCCTGGCCTCTGTCTCCAGTAAAGTCTTATTTGATTATTCCTGAAATACTTTTTTTGTTTTCAATTTCTCCTTCCTAATCCAGGGAAAGAAAAGGAATGTGAGTTGACCCTCTTAAGCAGATGAGATAGATGTAGTTTTAAAATAAAAACTCTTAAGGTGAGCCTCCTACTAAACAAGTATCTCTAAGTTTCAGGCAAATATGAGGAGTAAAAGACACTGTAAAGTTCGACATGATTACGAGCTTGTTAGAGTTCCTGTTAGCTCAAAGAATAACCTTAGAGCTACTCATCTTGTAAATTACTTACTGGCTTGATTTTGTGATGGAATTCTGCAAGTTGCTGGTGGTAAACAGTGCAGGAACTGGCAGAGGATTGCCAGGAGGGTTAAATAGGCAATCCTGAATTCAAATACTGCCAATGATGTTTATATTGCTACCATTGTGATTATGAAATAATTGGCCTGAGCTACAAATTCTTCATTGGTGAAAAGGAAATAAAATAGCATCCATCTCCAAAACTGTTAGGATTAAGTACCTGAGTGCCTGACATATAGTATTCACTCTGTTGAGCACACGTTCTCCTTCCCATCACTTCTAGTCTCCATACCCTCCTCAAAGCTAATTAGGATAAAGGAGAAACAATAACTTTAGAGCCTAAGGTAAATCAATAAACAATCCAACTAGTTCATACTGATTATTCTATATAGAACTATGCTGGATTGTAGGGGGATAGAAAATATTGTAAAATATAGTCTCTGTTGGAGGCTCCTATAGCCTAGAGACATGGATCCTTGAGATAGGGAGGAATCTTAAACCTTGTCTAGTTTATGTAACTACCTCCTCTCCAACAGATAAGACCTGAGATAAGTAGGCAGTAATACACAACAGTAGCTTATCAGGTGCTTCAGAGATTTAAACTGCATAATAGAGTGGATATTTCCTGAGAGGAAACCTAGATGGCCAACATGAGGTTCCTTATGGGTGGTTTTACTTATCTTGTCCAGTTGACCATAATCTACATTGTTAGCACGCAGCCAGTGGCTTAGTGTCTTTGTGTGAAAGCACATGTTTAACATATTTCAGTTATTGATGAATATCCTAGAATGCCAATTCATAAAGGTAAATGAGAAATTTATTGTCATGTCTAATGAAATACTCATCTATTCATGAACAGCCTCTTTTTATGGGGAAATCGTACATTAGTGTATGTGTGTGTGTGTGCGTGGGGGCATGCACGTGTATGTGTGTGTATATGTATATATGTGTGTGTGTATATGGAAATTATATATATATGAATCCAAATTAAAATCAGAAGGTAGATAGGGCATCAAAAATTAATTGAAGAAATTTAGATGACCTTAAGAAGTGTACCACTAAAGTAGCTTGAAATTCTTTTTTCTCATAATAGGGATATTCTTGCCAATGGATGGTAATGCTTATGTGGTAGTAGGCATAGTATGGAGTAATATAAGGAGAAGTGGCTAGTGTTAGAAATAATGGGAAATAAAAAATTATGAACAAGGTTATAACCTTCTGATAGGGGGTTAATTATGTACCAGTTAAAAATGGAAAGAATGCCTTTTGTTTATTTTAATTTTCTATATGAAATAATGTGGCATTTTTCAGAGTATTCCTTCAGTACATGTTCCTGAATATTTCTAACATTTTCTTTTTACCCATGGCCCAGGAAAATATGTCAGAATTAGAGGGAAAGGCATATATTAATAACTAGAATGCCTACATTTTCCTTTTGTCCCTAAGTAAATGTTAGTTTTCTAATTTATCTCTAAGCATTTGTAAAAATGCAAATAATGAATTCCAGGTGGTTGTTTAATATGCTTATTTGATTATCTACATGATACAAGATACAGAAGTAGGCTTATGGGGAAAAAGGTAAATAATAAACCCTGTCTTCAATAAACTCTGTCTTCAAGCAGCTTGAAATCTTGTTGGAAAGATAAAAATAAAAGGTTTTGTTTGTTTGTTTGTTTGTTTTGTTTTTTTTGAGATGGAGTCTCGCTCTGTCGCCCAGGCTGGAGCGCAGTGGCATGATCTTGGCTCACTGCAAACTACGCCTCCCAGGTTCATGCCATTCTCCTGCCTCAGCCTCCCGAGTAGCTGGGACTACAGGCGCCCGCCACCACACCCGGCTTTTTTTATGTGTGTGTGTTTTCAGTAGATACGGGGTTTCACCGTGTTTGCCAGGATGGTCTCGATCTCCTGACCTCGTGATCTGCCTGCCTCAGCCTCCCAAAGTGCTGGGATTGAAGGCGTGAGCCACCGCACCCTGCCAAAAATAAAAATTTTAAACGTTATATTATATTGATTATATAATAATGTCAGTTACTTAGAATTGATTCAATAAACAGTTATGAATAGCTACTTTGGGCACAGTTTTGGGCTCTGTGTTAAAGATACCACCATTGAAGATTCCTGCCTTTGAGGCACTAATTGGGGGTTGTTTCACTTGAATTGTTTAGATGCCAGGTATACAGAGACGATGTAAAGGGAAGATACAAAGATAGGATGGGGAGGTGACTTAAGGAAGACTTCCTGAGAAGGTGATTTCAGTATTGGGCCTGAAAGGATATGGGTTGATAAAAACAATGTAAGACAGATCAGTAGCTGGCACAGGCAGTAGGAGTGGGTTGATACTTGCATGATTGTTGTAGGGGTGGTGGAGAATAGCACAAGCAACAATATGGGCTTAGGAAAGAACAATTTTGCCTCAAGGAAGAGTGTCAGCTTCCATGTTGCTTTTCCTTTGAAAAATCTGTTATGTCTTCTTTCTACTCTGAATTTTTCTGTATCATAGTTCTTTATAGACAAGGATAACATTATATTGCTTATTAAGCTTTTAGGAATTTGGTTGCTAGACTAATCTGAAGTGACCAAGGACTAAGGAGGAAACCCATTGATCCTAGTCCATGATGAAAAACGGTACAGAAAGTTTTGTACCATCTGGTCATTAATGGATCCAGAAGCTCCTCTTGCTTTAATGCTATCCCCTTCAACATTTAGGGATACCAGCTCACCCTGCTATCCTATAGGCAGTGGATAGAAAAAGAGAGAGTGGTGTCTTGTGCAGCAGGCTTTAGGAGGCAGGATTTGAAGTGGCATACATCACTTCCATCTATATTCTGTTGGTCATAACTCGGCTATGTGGTTCCCTCTAACTGTGAGGAGGGCTGGGAAATGCAGACTTTGTGTTCTTCACAGGGCCCCTGAGCAATTAGACAATCTAGATCCTACATGGACCTATGAGGCATGGTTCTGTGTATCTAAGGATGTTATCAGGGAAATCAGAATTAGCTGATTAGCCAAATTAGGCACTGTTTGCCCTCTCCCCTGCCAGTTTATAGCTAAAGAAAATTTGTATGGCAGTAGTATAGTCGTTACATAAACAAAAGTCCAAGATAATTAGTAGAGACCCTTGTGTATGATGTATTACATATCTCAGTAAAGCTGCATAAAAATACAGGAATTGTTGATATTATTAGCTTAATAGGTATCACTGTACACTGGAGTCTAGTGGGTCACCACTAAATCCTCGGCACCTCTCTCATCACCCTTCATGGTTGTTCATCTTTGCCTTTTTGATGTTTGTGCATGTTTTTAGAGATTTATGCATAAAGGTCCAGTAAGCATGCAGAGAGACATCTTGTCTCTCCCATTCACCTCTGTTTTCCCTGTACCTAGCCCTGGGTTCACTTACTATGTGATAAAGTCTAAAGAAATGAATTTATGTTTATGTGAGACTTCAAATATGTCTGTATATGCAGTTACATTTGTCTATTTTAATTCTGTAAGTTTATAATCTCCTTTAACTTTGAAATCTATTAATAGAGTATAGTATTTTTTTTTTTTTTTGGAGGTGGAGTTTCGCTCTGCCGCCCAGACTGGAGTGCAGTGGTGCAATCTCGGCTCACGGCTCACTGTAACCTCCACCTCCCAGGTTCAAGTGATTCTCGTGCCTCAGCCTCCTGAGTAGCTAGGACTATGGACGTTCACCACCATGCCTGGCTAAGTTTTGTATTTTTACCAGAGATGGGATTTCACCATGTTGGCCAGGCTAGTCTTGAACTCCTGACCTCAGGCAATCCACCCGCCTCAGCCTCCCAAAGTCTGGAATTACGGGGGTGAGCCACCACGCCTGGCCAGTATTTTCCTATTTATTTTTTCTCTGATAGTCTTAGTGTTCATCGTATTTTTAGTAAATGCGTATTTACTGAGTAATGGTGATTCTTCAGTTGCATACACTATACACTGAGTAGTAAATTTTACATAGATGTTCTTATCCATTCTAGCCTAGTACATACTTGCTGCAGAGTCAAATATATAATATGTTTCTTTTATGCTTGGCTTTACTCCAAGTACAATGCATAGATTTGTTTTTAGCTTCATGCTAGCTTCTGATGCATTATATTTTCATACTGTTTAATGATAGTTTTCTTTCACTGAATCATTATTGAATGAAAGGAAGATATTACAGATAATAAGGGTGTGTGTATGTGTTTGCATATTTGTGTGTGTGTGTTTACTGTTGATATTATATGGGTGGGTTTTTAGTAGCTCTTACTCCAAAATAAACACAAATATTTCTTAGTATCAAGTCTTTTTTTTTTCTAAGTGGCATCTATACTTTTCTTTTTGTGCATGAATGAGTGATAGCTGAAAAGTGATTGCAGTGGTTTCATAGCTTAATAAATTAGTATGTAGGAGATTAACTGTCTTAATCAATGAAAAATTATTCCTTTCTGATCTCAGAAAGATCCAATAAAAGGGGTAACATATATAACCTTGTTCTTTTAGAGGCTGCAAATGAACTGTAAAATTATTAGGCACAGTTTAATTGCCTTTTATAGCTATGTTGAGAAGAGCATATATACATGATCTCTTATAGTGGGGAGTGGGGAACAAAACATGTCTCTTTTTTTTTTTTTTTTTTTTGAGAGGGAGTTTTGCTCTTATTGCCCAGGCTGGAGTGCAATGGCACGATCTCGGCTCACTGTAACCTCCGCCTCCTGGGTTCAAGCAATTCTCCTGCTGCAGCCTCCCGAATAGCAGGGATTACAGGCATGTGCCACCACGCCTAGCTAATTTTGTATTTTTAGTAGAGACAGAGTTTCTCCATGTTGGTCAGGCTAGTCTCAAACTTCCGACCTCAGGTCATCCACCCGCCTCAGCCTCCCAAAGTGCTGGGATTACAGGCATGAGCCACTGCACCCGGCCATGCCTCCCTTTTAACATGAATAAATTGTATTACAAACATAGTGAAAGTAAGAACATATATTTTTTGGAAAAATTGTTTCATAGTACATATGTCTTGATTAACATATTCAAGGGATTCATTGTGAAATTATAAATAAATGACAGATTCAAATTTAGAAAAGCTGTACCGAATTTTAAACTGAATATACCTGCTTTTATTTATTTATTTTACTTTTTCTAAAATTTTTAAAGCATTATTCGCATTGGTAGAGTGTGGAACAGTGGAAAGAACACGGTATTTGTGGTTATGTAGCATGGGTTCAAATACTGATGTTGTCCCCTGTGTACTCTGTGACATTTGTCACATTATTTTGAAGGCTCAGTTTGCTATTCTATAAAGCAAATATAATGATACTTCATGCAAGGTTGTTGAGGAAATTATGAATTGTCTATGTGATCTATACATATATAGCACTCAGCTCCTATACAAGTTATTCTATGACTTATACACGAGTGCGTGCACGCGCACACACACACACACACACACACACACAGTCTCTCTCTTCCCCATGCCCTCTCTGTCCCTCTCTCTCTCTCTAATAAAGTCTCCTCTCCCTGACACAGTAGAAAGGGAGAGGTATGAATGGGGTACTCTCTTGTAATAAGCTACTTGGGACTGCTCCAGCAGAGGTCCAAGCAAGGTAATGATTGATACCTTGTGGGAAGATTGCTAAAGGCCAATTGCTGATTTTTGTAGAATCATAGCTTCTGTAATTTGAGGGAGTTATTTCTCATTTTACATCCTTGGAAAAGTTAGAGTTGACTCTCTTATGTGGGCTAACCTTACTGTTTGTTTTTTTGTTTTTTTTTTTTGTTGTTGTTGTTGTTTTTTGTTTTGTTTTGTTTTTTTTTGAGTCAGAATATCGCTCTGTTGCCCAGGCTGGAGTGCAGTGGCGCAATCTTGGCTCACCGCAAGCTCCACCTCCCGGATACATGCTATTCTCCTGTCTCAGCCTCCCCAGTAGCTGGGACTACAGGCGTCTGCCACCACGCCTGGCTAATTTTTTGTATTTTTAGTAGAGACTGGGTTTCACTGTGTAAGCCAGGATGGTATCGATCTCCTGACCTTGTGATCTGCCCACCTTGGCATCCCAAAGTGCTGGGATTAAAGGCGTGAGCCACCGTGCCTGGCCTAACCTTACTCTTATGTTTTAATGTACAATGAAATGGAAGTATCAGCTTCATAAGAGCTAGAGATCAGTCAAAGATATTTGTATTATTTTTTTCTTCTCATCTAAGACAATATGACTCAGAGTTCACATGTGACCTGCACATCATTTAATCTCAGCTGAAGGTTGGTTGCTGGCTTGAGCACAGAGGATCTTTACCTTAACTTACAGCCAAGTCCTGAGGTCACCATAGGACAGCTTCTTCAAAAACAGGACGTCTGCCCTTACAGGAAAAACAAGGGCCACAGTGACAGTCGGTCACACCATCTTGGCTAATTTAAGGCACAAAAGGATTGTCCCCTTATTAATATCCCAGGGCTACGATAATCACCACAAATTTGGTGGCATAAAACAATAGAAATTTATTCTTTCAAAATTTTGGAGGGTAGAAGTTCAAAATAAAGGTGTCAATTGGCAAGGCCACACTCCCTTCAAAGGCTCTAGGGAGGCATCCTTTCCTACCTCGTCAATTTCTGGTGGCTCCAGGAATTCCTTGGCTTCCGGCCATATCACTCCAATCTCTGTCTCCATCTCACATTGCCTTCTTTTCTGTGTGACTTATCCTCTTCTGGTTTTTTTTTTAATTCATTTTTTAAAATTATAGGTTTTTGGGAAACAGGTGGTGTTTGGTTACATGAATAAGCTCTTTAGTGGTGATTTCTGAGATTTTGGCGCATCCATCACCCGAGAAGTGTACACTGTACCCAATATGTAGTATTTTATCCTTCACCCCCTCTCACTCTTTCCACCAAGTCCCCAAAGTCCACTGTATTATTCTTAAGCCTTTGCATCCACATAGCTTAGCTATCACTTATGAGTGAGGACATATGATGTTTGGTTTTCCATTCCTGAGTTACTTCACTTAGAATAATGATCTCAAATTCCATCCAGGTTGCTATGAATGTCATTATTTCATTCCTTTTTATGGGTGAGTAGTATTCCATGATATATATATATATATATATATATATATATATATATATATATATATATATACTGCAATTTCTTTATCCACTCATTGATTGATGGGCATTTGGGCTGGCCCCATATTTTTGCAATTGCAAATTGTGCTGTGCAAGTATCTTGCATGTGTGTGAGAGTGTGTGTGTGTGTGTGCAAGTATCTTTTTAATATAAGGACTTCTTTTCCTCTGGGTAGATACCCAGTAGTGAGATTGCTGGATCAAATGGTAGTACTACTTTTAGTTCTTTCAGGAATCTCCACAGTGTTTTCCATAGTGGTTGTACTAGTTTACATTTCCACCAACAGTGGAAAAGTGTTCCTTTTTCATCACATCCATGCCAACATCTGTTATTATTATTATTTTATTATGGTCATTCTTGCAGAAGTAAGGTGGTATCACATTGTGGTTTTGCCTTGCATTTCCCTGATCACTACTGATGGTTAGCATTGTTTCATATATTTATTGGCCATTTGTATATCTTCTTTTTATAATTGTCAGTTAGTGTTCTTAGACCATTTTTTGATGGGATTTTTTTTCTTGCTAATTTGTTTGTTTCTTGTAGATTCTGGACATTAGTCCTTTGTTGGCTGTATAGATTGTGAAGATTTTTTCCCACTCTGTGGGTTGTCTGTTTACTCTGCTGATTGTTTCTTTTGCTGTGTAGAAGCTTTTTAGTTTAATTAAGTCCCATCTATTTATCTTTGTTTTTGTTGCATTTGCTTTTGGGTTCTTGGTCATGAAGTCTTTGCCTAAGCCAATGTCTAAAAGGATTTTTCCTGATGTTATCTTCTAGAATTTTTATGGTTTCAAGTCTTAGATTTAAGTCTTTGATCAATCTTGAGTTGATTTTTGTATAGGGTGAGAAATGAGGATCCAATTTCATTCTTCTACATGTGGCTTACCAGTTATCCCAGCACCATTTGTTGAATAGGGTGTCCTTTTCCCACTTTATGTTTTTGTTTGCTTTGTTAAAGATCAGTTGGCTATAAGTATTAGGTTTATTTCTGGGTTCTCTATTCTGTTCCATTGGTCTCTGTGCCTATTTTTATACCAGTACCATGCTGTTTTGGTGACTATGGCCTTATAGTATAGTTTGAAGTTGAATAATGTGATGCCTCTAGATTTATTCACTTTGCTTAATCTTGCTTTGTCTATGTGGGCTATTTTTTGGTTCCATATGAATTTTAGGATTTTTTTTCTAGATCTGTGAAGAAGGATGGTGGTATTTTGATGGGAATTGCATTGAATTTGTAGATTGCTTTTGGCAGTATGGTCATTTTCACAATATTGACTCTACCCAGCCATGAGCATGGGATGTGTTTCCATTTGTTGCATCATCTATGATTTCTTTCAGCAGGGTTTTGTAGTTTTCATTGTAGAGGTGTTTCGCCTCCTTGGTTAGGTATATTCCTAAGTATTTTTTTATTTTGCAGCTATTGTAAAAGGGGTCTACTTCTTGATTTGATTCTCAGCTTGGTCACTGTTCATGTATAGCAGAGCTACAGATTAGTGTATATTAATTTTGTTTCCTGAAAGTTTGCTGAATTCATTTATCAGTTCTAGCAGCTTTTTGGATGAATCTTTAGGGTTTTCTAGTTATACAATCATATGATCAGCGAACAGCAACAGTTTGACTTCCTCTTTATCGATTTTGATGCCCTTTATTTCTTTCTCTTGTCTGATTGCTCTGACTAGGACTTCTAGTGCCATGTTAAATAGAAGTTGTGAGAGTGGGCATCCTTGTCTTGTTCCAGTTCTCAGGAGGAATGCTTTTGACTTTTCTCCATTTAATATTATGTTGGCTGTGGGTTTTTTATAGATGGCTTTTATTACATTAAGTTATATTCCTTAGATGCTGATTTTGCTGAGGGTTTTATTCATAAAGGGATGCTGGATTTTGTCAAATTCTTTTTCTGTGTCTATTGAGATGATTATGTGATTTTTTAAAAATAATCAGTTTATCTGGTGTATCACATTTACTTACTTGTGTATGTTAAACCATCCTTGCATCCTGGTATGAAACCCACTTGATCATGGTGGATTATCTTTTTGATACGCTGTTGGATTTGGTTAGCTAGTATTTTCTTAAGGATTTTTGCCTCTATATTCATCACGGATATTGTTCTGTGGTTTTCTTTTTTTTGTTATGTCATTTCCTTGTTTTGGTAGTAGGGTGATACTGGCTTAATAGAATGACTTAGGGAATATTCCCTTTTTCTCTATCTTGTGGAATAGTGTCAGTATGACTGGTACCAGTTCTTTTTTGAATGTCTTATGTAATTCAGTTGTGAATCCATCTGGTTCTGGACTTTTTTTTTCTTGGCAATTTTTTTTTATTACCATTTCAATCTTGCTGCTTGTTATTGGTCTGTTCAGAGTTTCCATTCTTTCTTTTTACATCTAGGAGGGCTGTATATTTTCAGGAATTTATCACTCTCCTCTAGGTCTCAGTTTATCTGTGTAAAGGTATTTACAGTATCCTTGAATGATCTTTTGTATTTCTCTTGTATCAGTTGTAATATCTCCCATTTCGCTTATTTGAATCTTCTCTCTTCTTTTCTTGGTTAATCTCACTAATGGTCTATCAATTTTATTTATCTTTTCAAAGAATCAGTTTTTTGTTTCATTTATCTTTTGTATTTTTTGGTTTCAATTTCATTTAGTTCTGCTCTGATCTTTGTTATTTCTTTTTTTTTGCTGGGTTTGGGTTTGGTTTGTTCTTGTTTCTCCCGTTCTGTGAGGTGTGACCTTAGGTTATCTATTTGCATTCTTTCAGACTTTTTGATGTAGGCATTTAAGGCTATGAACCCTCCTCCTAACACTGTCTTTGCTTATTCCAGAGGTTTTGTTAGGTTGTGTCACAATTATTCAGTTCAAAGAATTTTTAAATTTCCATCTTAATTTCATTGTTGACTCAATGATCATTCAGGAGCAGGTTATTTAATTTTCATGTATTTGCATGGTTTTGTGGGTTCCTTTTGGAGTTGATTTCTAATTTTATCCGACTGTGGTCTGAGAGAGTCCTTAATATAATTTTAATTTTCTTAAATTTATTGAGACTTGCTTTGTGGCCTATCATATTGTCTATCTTGGTGGTCTATCTTGGAGAATGTTCCATGTGCTGATGGATAGAATGTATATTCTGCAGTTGTTGGGTAAAATGTTCTATAAATATCTGTTAAGTCCATTTGTTATATGGTATAATTTAAATTCGTTGTTTCTTTGTTCACTTTCTGTCTTGACCTGTCTCGTACTGTCACTATTGAAGTCCTCCATTATTATCATGTTGCTCTCTGTCTCATTTCTTGGGTCTAGTAGTATTTGTTTTATAATTTTGGGAGTTCCAGTGTTAGGTGCATATATATTTAGGATTGTGATATTTTCCTGTTGGACAAGTTATTTTATCATTATAAAATGCCTCTCTTTGTCTTTTTAAATTGCTGTTGCTCTAAAGTTTGTTTTGTCTGATATGAAAATAGTGACTCCTGCTCGCTTTTGTGTCCATTTTTATGGATATCTTTTTCTACCCCTTTAACTTTACATGTGCCCTTACTTGTTAGGCGAGTCTCTTGAAGACAGCAGATACTTGGTTGGTGAATTCTTACTCATTCTGCCATTCTGTATCTTTTAAGTGGAGCATTTAGGCAATTTACATTCAATGTTCCTATTGAGATGTGAGGTACTATTCTATTCATCATGCTCTTTGTTGCTTGAATACCTTTTTTTCATTGTGTTTTTGTTTTATAAGTCCTGTGAGATGTATGCTTTAAAGAAATTCTATTTTGGTGTATTTTGAAGATTTGATTTAAGATTTAGAGCTCCTTTTAGCAGTTCTTGTGTTGCTGGCTTAATAGTGGCAAATTCTCTCAGCATTTGTTTGTCTGAAAAAGACTGTATTTTTCCTTCATTTATGAAGTTTAGTTTCACTATATAAAAAATTCTTCACTGATGACTGTTACTTTTACATACATGGCACTAATTATTTCGAGGTATGTTTCTTCAATGCCTAGTTTCTTGAAAATTTTTTTTTTATCATAAAGGACTCTTGGATAAAGAAAGTGTGATAGATATACACAATAGAGTATTGCTCAGACAGAAAATAATGAGATCCTGTCATTTGCAACAATATGGCTGGAACTGGAGGTCATTATGTTATGTGATTTTAAAGATAAAATCAACAAACTCTTAGCTAGACTAAGAAAAAAAGAGAGAAGACTCAAATAAAACTGAAAAGGAAACATAACAGTGGGTGCTTCAGAAATTTAAAAGGCCCATAAGGGATTATTATGAATAATTATATGCCAAAAAATTAGATAACCTAAAGGAATTAATAAATTTCTAGATACATACACTGCACCAAAACTGAATCAAAAAGAGAGAGACATCAACAAAATACTAGCAAACCAAATTCAATAGCACAACAGAAACTTAATTCACCATGATTAGGTAGGCTACATTCCCAAGATACAGGGTTGGTTCAACATATGTAAATCAATAAATGTGATTCACCATGTAAACAGGATTAAAAACAAAATCCATATGTTCTTTTCCATTGGTCTGTATAGCTACTATGTTGAATAGGAGCAGTGAGAGAGGGCATCCTTTTCTTGTGCTGGTTTTCAAAGGGAATGCTTCCAACTTTTGCCCATTCAGTATGATATTGGCTGTTGGTTTGTCATAAATAGGTCTTACTATTTTGAGATATGTTCCATCAATGTGTAGTTTATTGAGAGTTTTTTTTACCATGAAGGGGTTGTTGGATTTTATCGAAGGCCTTTTCTGCATCTATTGAGATAATCATGTGGTTTTTGTCACTGGTTCCGTTTATGTGATGGATTACGTTTATTAATTGTGCACATTGAACCAGCCTTGCATCCTAGAGATGAAGCTGAGTTGATCGTGGTGGATAAGCTTTTTGATGTGCTGCTGGTTTCAGTTTGCCAGTATTTTATTGAGGATTTTCGCATTGATGTTCATCAAGGATATTGGCCTGAAATTTTCTTTTTTTGTTGTGTCTCTGCCAGGTTTTGGTATCAGGATGATGCTGGCATCATAAAATGAGTATTTTTCTTCAGACTTCAGACTGCTGTGCTGGAAGCAAGAATTTCAAGCATTGGATCTTAGCTTGCTGGGCTCCATAGGGGTGGGATCCACTGAGCTAGACCACTTGGCTCCCTGGCTTCAGCCCCCTTCCAGGTGAGTGAATGTTTCTGTCTTGCTGGTGTTCCAGGTGCCACTGGGGTGTGAAAGAAAAATTCCTGCAGCTAGCTCACTGTCTGCCCAAACAGCCGCCCCGTTTTGTGCTTGAAACCCAGGGCCCTGTTGGCATAGGTACCTGAGGGAATCTCCTGGTCTGCGAGTTGCGAAGACTGTGGGAAAATTGTAGTATCCAGGCTGGGCAGGGTCCCTCACAGCTTCCCTTGGTGAGGGAAGGGAGTTCCCTGACCCCTCGCACTTCTAAAGTGAGGCAATGCCCCACCTTGCTTTGGCTTGCCGTCCGTTGGCTGCACCCACTGTCTAACCAGTTCCAGTGAGATGAGCTGGTTACCTCAGTTGGAAATGCAGAAATCACCTGCCTTCTGCATTGATCTCACTGGGAACTGCAGACCAGAGCCGTTCCTATTTGACCATCTTGCCAACCAGGGGAAATCAACTATTTCAAATTTTTTTTGAGGACCCTCCAAACTCTTCTCCATAGTGGTTGTACTGATTTACATTTCCACTAACATTGTACCAGGGTTCCCTTTACTCCACATCTTCACCAGCATTTGTTATTGCCTGGATTTTTGCATATAAGCCATTTTAACTGGGGTGAGATGATATTTCATTGTAGTTTTGATTTGTATTTCTCTGATGATCAATGATTTTGAGCACCTTTTCATATATCTGTTTGCCATTGTATGTCTTCTTGTGAGAAATGTCTATTCAGATTTTTTGCCCATTTAAAATATTGGATTGTTAGATATTTTCCTATAGAATTGTTTGAGTTCCTTGTATATTCTGGTTATTAATCATGTGTCAGATGGGAAGTTTGCAAATATTTTCTTTTATTCTGTGGGTTGTCTCTTCACTTTGTTGATTGTTTCCCTTGCTGTGCAGAAGGTTTTTAACTTGATGTGATGCCATTTGTCCATTTTTGCTTTGGTTGCCTGTGCTTGTGGAGTATTACCCAAGAAGTCTTTGCCCAAACCAAGGTCCTGGAGGGTTTTCCCAATGTTCTCTTTTAGTGGTTTCATAGTTTGAGGTCTAAAATTTAAGTCTTTCATCCATTGTGATTTTAAGCAAGAAATAGGGGTCTTGTTTCACTCTTCTTCAAATCCAGTTTTCTCTGCAATATTTATTGAAGAGACAGTTTCTCTTCCCAATGTGTGTTCTTGGCACCTTTGTCAAAAATGAGTTTACTGTAAATGTTTGGGTTTTATCTGTCGGTTCTCTATTCTGTTCCACTGATCTATGTGTCTGTATTTATGTTGGTTCCTTGCTGTTTTGGTTACTACAGCTCCACAGTATAATTTAAAGTAAGGTAAAGTGATTCCCTCAGTTTTGTTCTTTTTGCTCAGAATAGCTTTGGCTATTTCAGGTCTTTTGTGGTTCCATATAAAGTTTAGGACTGTTTTTTCTATTTCTGTGAAGAATGTCTTTGGTGTTGTGATAGAGATTACATTAAATCTATAGATTGCTTTGGGTAGTGTGGCCATTTTAACACTATTGATTCTTCTAATCTTTAAAGATGGAATATCTTTCCATTTGTTGGTGTCTTCTTCAATTTCTTGCATTAGTGTTTTATAGTTTTTATTCCAGAGATCTTTTACTTCTTTGGTTAAGTAATTCCTAGGCATTTTATTTTATTTGTCGCTATTATAAATGGAATTACTTTTTGATGTCTTTTTCACAATGTTAGCTATTGGCATATAGAAATGCTACTGATTGTTGTATGTTGATTTTGTATTCTGCAACTTTACTGAATTTTATTCATTCTAATAGTTTTTTTGTGGAGTCTTTGCTTTTCCAAATATAAGATTCCATCATCTGCAAACAGAGATAATCTGATTTCTTCATTTCCAATTTGGATGCCCTTTATTTCTTTCTCTTGTCTAATTGCTACAGCTAGGACTTCTTGTACTATGTTGAACAACGGTGGTGAAAGTGAGCATCCTTCTCATGTTCTTGACCTTAGAGGAGAGGCTTTCAGTTTTTACCCTTTTGCTATGATACTAGCTGTGGGTCTGTCCTATAAGGCTTTTATTATGTTGAGGCTTGTTCCTTCTATCATGGGTTTTTGAGGGTTTTTATCATGAAGCAGTATTGAATTTTATCAAATGCTTTTACAGCATTAATTGAAATGATTATATGGTTTTTATCCTTCATTCTGTTGATGTGATGTATCACATTGTTGATTTGCATATGTTTAACCATTCTTCCATCCCTGAGATAAATTCCACGTGGTCATGATGAATAATGTTTAAATGTGTTGTTGAATTTGCCTTGCTAGTACATTTTTTAGGATTTTTGTATCAATATTGATCAGTGATATTGGCCTAGAGTTTTCTCTTTTGGATGTATATTTGTCTGGTTTTGGTATTAGGGTAATAATAGCCTCATAAAATGAGATTGGAAGTATTCCCTTCTCCTCTAATCTTTGGAATACTTTGAATAGGATTGGTATTAGTTCTTTTTTTAATGTTTGGTAGAATTCAGGAGTGAAGCCATCAGCTATCAGGTCCTGGGCTTTTTTTTCTTTTATGGGAGACTTCTTATTACAGCTTCAATCCCATTACTTGTTATTGGTCTGTTCAGATTTTGTATTTCTTAACAGTTCAACCTTGGTAGGTTGTATTTGTCCGAGAATTTGCCCATTTTTTTTTTTTTAGATTTTCCAATTTATTGACGTATAGTTGCTCACAGTAGCCACTAATGATCCTTTGAATTTCTGCACTCAGTTGTAATGTCTCCTTTTGCATCTCCAATTTTGTTTATTTGAGTCTTTCTTTTTTTCTTAGGTAGTGTGGCTAAAGGTTTGACTATTTTGCTTATCTTTTTTAAACAAATTTTTTGTT
The DNA here is from genome assembly GCF_000001405.40 of Homo sapiens. Lineage (NCBI taxonomy): Eukaryota > Metazoa > Chordata > Mammalia > Primates > Hominidae > Homo > Homo sapiens. Next base: position 97,615,201 of record NC_000006.12, read on the forward strand.
TCATTAATCTTTTGTATTGTTTTCTTCACTTCAAATTCACTTATTTTTCTCTGATCTTTATTATTTCTTTTTTTCTGACTAATTATGGGTTTAGTTTACTCTTGCTTTTCTAGTTCTTTAAGATGTATCATTAGGTTGCTTATTGGAAGTTTTTCTTCTTTTCTGATGTAGGCAGTTACAGGTATAGACTTCCCTGTTAGTAATGCTTTTGTTGTATCTCATAGGTTTTGCTTAATTATGCTTCCATTAATATTTTTTCAAGAAACTTTTCAATTTCATTCTTAATTTCTTCATTGACCCATTGCTTATTCAGAGCATATTGGTTAATTTCCACGTGTTTATATAGTTTCCAAAATTCCTCTTGTTATTGATTTCTAGTTTTATTCCATGTGGTCAGAGAAGATGCTTGATGTTATTTCAATTTTTTTGAATGTTTTAAGACTTCTTATATGACCTGACACATGGTCTATCTTGAGAATGATCCATGTGTTGAGGAAAAGTGTATATATTCTGCAGCCATTGCATGAAATGTTCTGTAAATATCTTTTAGTTTCATTCGATCTATAGTGCAGTTTTTAAATCTAACGTTTCATTGTTGATTTTGTGTTTGGGAGATCTGTCCAACGCTGAAAGTGGGGTGTTGAGGTCTCCAGCTACTATTGCAGTGGTGTCTATCTCTCTGTTTAGCTCTAATAATATTTGCTTTATATATTTGGATGCTCCAGTGTTGGGTAGTTCCATTATTATGTGAATTTTAGGAATAACTTTTCCATTTTTGCTAAGAAAGGTCATTGGGATTTTGTCTGGGATTGTACCTAGCCCGTAGATTGCTTAGTATTAATATCTTAATAATAAATCTTCCAATTAATGAAATGGAATGTTTTTCTCTTTATTTAGGCCTTTTAACTTCTTTTAGCAATGTTTTGTAATTTTCAGTGTACAAGTCTTGGAATTCCTTGATTAAATTTATTCCTAAATATTTTATTCTTTTTGATGCCATTATGAACAAAATTGTTTTCTTAATTTCATTCTTATATTGTTAATTGCTAGCATATAGAAATAGAACTGATTTTTGTGTGTTGATCTTTATCCTGAAACATTGATGAATACACTTATCAGCTCTAATTGCTTTGATTATTTAGGATTTTCTGTATATAAAATAATGCTATCTCTGAATAGAAATAATTTTGTTCCTTCTTTCCAATTTGTATGGCTTCGATTTTTTTTTTCTTGCCTAATTGCTATTGCTGGACCTTCCAGGGCAGGGTTAAACAGAAATGATGAAAGTGGACATGAGTGTCTTGTTCCTGATCTCAGTGTAAAAGCTTTCATCCTTTGTCTTTGAATATAATGTGGGTTTTTCCTAAGTGCCTTTTGTCATTTTGAGGAACGTTTTTTTCTATTCCCAGCTTGTTGAATGTTTTTATATGAACAGATGTTGTATTGTGTAAAATCCCTTTTCTGCATCAATGGAGATGACCATGTGTTTGCCTGCTTCATTTTATTAATGTGGTATATTACATTGATTGATTTTTGTATGTTCAATTCTTTTGCATCATTTTAAATCCTCAATGTTTATTTTAACTATGGCTGTTTTTATCAGTTGTATGATTTTCTTTGATTTATTCCATGCAGATTCAAACTAATGGTGTCTCACCAACACATGGCATGAGAACACCTGTAGCAATCTGTTTGACAGTCATTCACGAGCAACTTAGAATTGCAAGAAAGGTAACAACATACAGAGCGATCTTTGATCACTGGGGAATAGGAGACTATGAGTTATTGCTTTCTCTTTTCTTTATCTGGAGACATGGTTCTGAAATCAGTTTCATAAGGTTTCTCAGAACGTCGGACTAGATTAAACAACCAGTTGCTCATAATGGCACCAACTTGATAATATATCCCACTTAATGTAATATATATTGTCTTTCTCCTCATCTGATTTAATTTTTCTTATCTCTTGATCATACTTCCCAAGGTTGCATTTTCAAATAAATTTCTCATAGACATTATCTTTGGCCCTGATTTGTGGGAAAAGCGGGCTAAGGCAGAGCTAAGGCATCTGCTGTACTCATATAGTGATATTGCGTAAGGGAGAGGGAATTAAAGGATATAATGCAGCACCTAACATGTGGTCTTGCTACCCTTATGAGATGTCTCATGGTGCTATAGAATTGTTTTAATTTTGTTTCTGGAGACTCTGATAATTACTTTTGCTGTAGGTTTTGAGGTAGTCCCTGAGCTCATTCAAAGTTCTTTTGCTCACCATTAAAATGTCGTACCTTTCTCTTTTGACTGTGGAGCAATCTTCTACAATAACTGCCTCCATTGATTAAAAAAGGGGCAACTAACTGGAATGAGAGTAAGAAGTGTGGTTCTTAGAAATATGTAAGTTTTAAATGAATGAGAATAATAATTTAAATGATAAACCTCACATTTTAAAAAGACTGTGTGTCTGCTACTGTGCTAAATTCCATCCTAATATCCCCAAGATGCAGATGTTAGTATTAACTCTATTTTATATTTAAGGGGTTTAACTTCAACCCAGGTGACACTTGCCCTAAAGCTTGGCTTAGATGACCTTAAGATGTACTTTCCACAAATGAGTTAAAGTTCTAGCTATAAAATTCATAAAATACTTTAATAAAAGCTCCATAAAATGTCAACACCCTGTCTGAGATTCTGTCCCATTTGAAATGAAAACCAAGGCTAACATAAACAAATTACAAAGAAGTTAGTTTTTGATATATAAAACCCAGTTTTTAGAATATGATGCTATTTTTGATGAAATAGTGAAAGAGAACAAAGCTGGATTTGACTTGATTCTCTTGATGATACACTCAGAGTTTATAAATCTGTGTTGCTCCTGTGTCTGCACAGACAGAATCTGGAGATGTTAATTTTTTGTCATTTGGCTTCTAGATGTCCTTGGCGTGTACACCCTGTGGAATCTGGTTCATCTTCAATCTGTCAGAAGGCATCAGAGGTGGTTTTGACTCCTTATGTCTTGGACCTGTGCACAAAAAGTGTGAGTACACTGCAATGAGGCCAATTTTACTGTTGTTGAGGGTCTTCTAAAATGATTTTGTAATGGTTAGTGTATTGAAATGAACTCACCCTGTAGTTCCAGGATGAGAAAGGAAGGATAATTTTTGGTCAAGATATTAGAAAATATCTTTCTTGGAATTGTCTTATTTGTGTAGGCTCATTCCTTGCCCCAGAAATGGCTTTGATGAACATGACTCTAAATAAAATGCAAGAAGTTTAACACAAAGAGGAAAAAGTTCCTTTCCAAGGTAGTTATCAAATAGCTTAAATACTACCAAATGATAGATGGTATATTTTTTCACATATGAAAATTTCACATTGCACACTAGGACCCCTTTTACTCGATTTTAAGTAGTTAACATATTTGGGATCCCTTCTCTATGCCTCTGAATTAGGTTATTATCATATCAAAAGAAATCCAGAACTTTAAAAGGCTTATTAGTGAAGCTCATAGTTATATACACAAGTGGTACCTTTTAATGCCTCAGAAAACTAATTTTGGCATTGTATATAGATGAACCATGTAAGCATAGTTACAATGGTTATTCTTGTTTTGGAGGGGTGGGTTAATTTGGAGAGAACATGATATTCCCCTGGTGAAAAATTAAGTTTTATGTTAAAGTTAAGTTTTATGTTTTTTATTTATAGGAATTCAGATAATGACTTCAGATGTAAGTTTATAAATTTTGAACTAATTACTGAGTTTTCATTGTTCCCTGATGAGCATTTGCTTAGTTTGTTGAAAACTGGAAGAGGGCTAATAAGTATTAAATTCATTAAATTTAGGGAAAAAGCATAATTTGACCAATTTTATGTAAATTTAAATAGATTTTGTTTGAAAACAAGAGGTAGCTTATTTTTTTTTGTAAATAAATCTATTTCACTTGTTAGCTGGACACTGAGCCTATTAGGCATTCCTAGCCCACAATATAACTTTCTTTCTCTACTTTAGATTGACCCAAAGTGGATGGTCAGCTTTCTAAACTGGCCTGGCTTCTTGATGAAGTTTTTGAATTCATGAGCTAGTAAGTTTGAAGTGCTTTGAGAAGGTTTGAGGTGAGGCTAGAATGAAGTGAAGAATAAGCTGTTTCTTTTTGCCCTTGCAGACTTTTCCTGTAGGAATGAAAATACAGTAAAGTATTCAAATACAGCTTCATGTAAAGTATTCTTTATTTTTATTTATTTATTTATTTTTATTTTTTGAGAGAGAGAGTTTCACTCTTGTTGCCCAGGCTGCAGTGCAATGGTGTGATCTCAGCTCACTGCAACCTTGGCCTCCCATGTTCAAGCGATTCTCCTGTCTCAGCCTCTTGAGTAGCTGGGATTACAGGCACGCACCACCCAAGCCTGGCTAATTTTGTATTTTTAGTAGAGATTGCGTTTCATCATGTTGGTCAAGCTGGTCTTGAACTCTGACCTCAGGTGATCCACCCACCTTGGTCTCCCAAGTGCTGGGATTACAGGCCTGAGCCACCGCGCCCGGCCCAGTAAAGTAGTCTTAATTAAAAAATAATCACTAAGTTTCCCCCAAAATCTTGTTTCACTTATGTATATTAGGTTTTATTACACATACCAATTAGAGTTTGTTGCAGGGAATAGCCACTCAAACTAGCCTGACTGGTATTGTAAGATTTCTGGGGAGTCTCAGGGGACCTTGTAGTTTTGGTAAAAATTTTAATTTTCGGCCAGCCTTAACTTTAGGAGGATAGTTAAACACGGCAATTTATTTTCTTATTTTTTTGTCATAATTTTTAAGAGAGACGCACATCGATGACATTTATTTCGGTAATTAGAATAAGGTACCAATAACGTCTCCAACAAGCAAAAACCCTTTCTACCTATCTAGCTATCAATGAAGAAGTATGTCAGTGTATATCAGGAGCTTTTCAAATAAATCAATTTGCAAAACTTTGTCAGTGGAGTTGATTTTAAATATTTCCTTTCCTAGAGTTTCCTGAAATCATGTTTTAAACATTAAAAACTTTCTAACAGGTCAGTTAGATGAAACTTTCTAACAGGTCAGTTATTGAACACACTGAGTTACCTTTTTCAATTTTCAAATTTTCTTCCTTTGATAATCTGTGTGCTTTATTCTTCAACCCTCTCCATTTTTCCATGTGAACACATCATCTATATTGAGCTTCCCTTCAACAGTTGTTCCTGGTTTTGATAGCCACATCTATGTTAAGTGAATTTGTTTTACTTTCAATATTTTTAGACATTATTTTTTCTTGAAGGTGTCCATTCTAGAGCCCTCACCATCAGTCTGAGATTTTCCCTTTATCTTTTTCCTGAGCTATGTTTCTCTTTCCTGTTGTTTTTCTTGGTTTACTGTCAACTTTGCAGTGGAGTTCATTTCCAAGAAAATTCCTGACAAGAATACTGAGGAGGTAAAATTTTGTGGCCTTGAATATACCAGAATATCTTTATTCTGTAATTATACTTGATCTATACTCTGGTAAGGTATTCAGTTTTACATTAGAAATAATTTTCTCTCAAAACTTTGAAAGTTTCTCTTCACTGTCTTCCACTCTTAGTATTTCTGTACAGAAACCCAACTTTCTCTCCAGAAACCTCATTCAGATTCCAGATTCTATGTTTTGTTTTTTTTCCTTTCATGTTAGAATATTTCTCCACAGGTTGAAGGATCCTTGACTGTTTCTCTATATTTAAGAGTAAGAGCCAAATAATAATTTGGGAAGTCTTTATAATGAGGTATCTTGATAGGTGTGGTTTATTAGTATGATGAAGTGGTAACATGGCTTTTTAATTGAGAGAGTCTAAATCTTTATGTGCGTGTATTCCCTGGGCCATTCTGTTTCTCTAGCTTGAAGGGAAAATCTCTTTGGGTTTTTGAGGTAAAATTGGCAGTTTCCTATTGGTTTTCTTCAATTCAGGTTAAGGCTTCAGCTTTATCTGGTTTGCTAAGCAGTTACTATTCATCCATTTACATTATAACATTTCAGGAATGTTTTTGAAATAACTTATCTGGCATCTTCTTCTCTCCTTTTCATCCTTCAGGGTTCTAAGTTTTAAAATTATTTTACTGTCAGTTTAGTATGATTTTCAAGGGTGAGGAATAAATAACTTCATGCACTTACTGTCATGTTTAATCAAATGTTTGTGAAATAATTTAAAGCAGTATATGCAGAAGTTGGTGATACTTCTATGGTGTGACATTAATACTATTTTAAATATATCAATTTATTACTATAATATCTGCAAGTAAAAGAGGCCTTAAATGCTCTGAAAGCATGAAGGCCTGCCTTTCTCAGTTCTCATGCTGTTTTCTCAGTAGAAGAGCTAATTCACCTGAAACCTTTACAGAGCCTCCTGCCTGAGTTCTCTAGTTGCACTTCACAGATACTTCTGTCATAATACTTAGTACATTTTCCTCTATGTGTTTATTTATCTTTTTCTCACTAAGCTCCACCATCCTTGAAGGCAAATATTACATCTTATTATTCATCTTTATAATCCTTGGGCTTAGCACAGTGCTTGGCATATAGCAGGAGCTCCATACATGTATACTAAAAAATGTCAAATTAATGTGTTAATAATTTCCCTAAAGTTTTAAGGAGATATTAACATTTTATAACTAAAGTAATTCTCTTCTAGTCTTTTCTTCTTCTCCTCCACTCTGTCAATTTTTCTTTCATATCATTCCCACCCCGGCAAGCAACATGAACTTTTACTCATCAGTTGAATTAAGTGGTATAGGTATGTTTCACTGTATTTCTATTGCTATGTTTCTAAGTCATATAGGTATATTTCACTATATTTCTATTGAAGAAATAGCTAGAAAATGTAGGTTGATCCCATTTTGTAGAGGATTTTAAATGTTGGGCTAAGGTATTTTTGCTCTATGAAGTAGCCAAGAGGGTGATGTTGAAGGTTTTAAGCTAGGAAAAGTAATATTTAAATCACAACATGATAATATTAGTGGGGCAGATGGACTAGAAAAGGAGATACAGAACAAGGAGAGACCCATTACAAAGCTACTCCTATAGCCTCAGAAGAAAAATGAGCTTCTGAGAAGAGTAAGGACAATAAGAATATAACATATGTTTTTAAAATATTTTCATTACTATTTATTTATGTTCATATTCAATTGTATACTTATTCATTGTCTCTCCCCTCCCACTAGAATGTAATCTCCCTGAGAGCAAGAGTCTGTATCTCCTTCAGCTCCAATCTCCAATGTCTAGAATAGTGCTTGCAAGATAGTAATTGTTCAGTACACACTTCTTGAAGGAATTAAGGAGACAGACAAGCTAAAAAGAAACAGAACAAAAATCAAATAGGGCAGTCTCAGATGCACAAATTAAGTGAAGTAAATTCAAACAGGCCGGTAGTCACAATTAATATGTATGGAGCAAACTCTCCAAATAAAAGACAAAAGTGGTCAGACTGGATTTTTAAAATTTCAGTAGTATGCTCTCTAAAGATTTGTACTTAAAACATAAGGACACAGCCATGATGAAAGTAAATGATGAAAACAAATCCCAGATAATTACTAGCCAGAAGAAAGGTGTTATCACTATATTATTTTTGTATAGAATAATTTAAGCCAGTATAAAGTTAAATGGAACATATAAATATATATGTATGCATATTAGAAAATTATATAAGCCTAATATTGTTAAAAATAAATATAGTTAATAATAGAGTATTGTACATTTCAAAATTGCTGAGAGTAAATTTCTAATGTTCTTACCACAAAAGAATGTTAAGTATTTGAGGTGATGGATATGTTAACTAGTTCGATTTAATTATTCCTTATTAACATCTCTTTGTGTGCCATAAGTTTATACAATTATAAATTGTCATTTTAATTAAAAATTCATTGTTAATGTCTTAATATTTACATATAGCTTTTAGTAATTGACTTTCAAATAAATAAATTTTAAAAGTACATTTATATATAATCTAAAGTTTGACTTAAGGCCAGCTGTGGTGGCTCATGCCTGTAATTCCAGCATTTTGGGAGGCCAAGGCAGGAGGATCAACGGAGGCCAAGAGTTTGATACAAGCCTGGGCAACATAGCAAGACCCTGTCTCTACTAAAAATTAAAAAATTAACTGAGCATGATGGCACATGCCTGTATTCCCAGCTACTTGGGAGGTTGACTTGGGAGTACCACCTGAGCCCTAGAGTTTGGAGGTTACGGTGGGCTGTGATTACGCCACTGCCTGGTTGACAGAATAAGACCTTGTTTCAAAATATATATTTATATATATAAATTTTAAAAATTAAGTTTGACTTAAAAATATATATAAACATAAATGGATAATACTACATGGGAGAATGACAAATCCACAATTCAAAAATATCTGAACACACTTCTCTCGGTAGCTGACAGAAGCTTCACCTAATGGGTCTATATAGAACTTACATAGAAGTTTCTTTTCAAGCACTCATGTAATATTTAGACTAAATGGGAAAAATAAGTCCATTATAGACTACAGAACTAACATAAGCTAGAAGAACGAGTAACAAAATGAAAAAGAATATGGGTGATACACGGAGGGCACTGGGGATGAGAGTGGGCATGGAGGATGACAGTAGGGAGGGACAAGCACATGGGGCTGGGCTGAGAAGAGTCTGATATGAGATCACAGGTTTCAAGTTGAGGAATAGCACAATCAGACTGTGTTAGCAAGATTATTTTAATGAGAATTTAGAGAAGGCAATGAGTGGTAGAATCTGAGATAAAGGAGACAAGTTGGAGACTATTACAGTAGTTCAGGCATGAGACAATGAGGTTCTGAACTAAGTATCAGCAAAGATGATTCTGTTTTAGCCAATGTCATGGAAGTAGAATTGTTAGTACACAGGTGACTTTTGAGTAGGGAAATAGCAGGATGGCTCCCAGTTTTCCGGGATAGATGAATGATAGTGCCATTAACCAAGATAGGATCTTTAGCCAAAGGGCAGGTTCAAGGGGATACATGTGACACTTGAGGTTTAAGAACACATTTTCATTTAAAATTAGTTTTGTAATTTTAAAATGCTTGTGATAGTGCAACAATGGAAAATATTTTACCTTCCTGTTGAATCTTTTTTTTTTCTCACATAACCAGGTAACATGGCATCTCTGGCTTACTGAGTATAAATATCACGTGAAAGACCTTTACCTGGAATTGGCAGACCTTCCCTCATTGCTATGTGACTTGATTTATATCTTCTGTGCTAGTGCATGTAATATGTCTTTTTGTTAAATAACTATATATATATATAGTTTTACATATATATGTAGTTTTACATATATATATGTAAAACTTCCTGGATGTAGTAGATTTTTCAATCCATTCCTTAAAGTATAATTTCTGAGAACGATCCCAATTTAGCTGTCCTCAAATATGCATGATCTGAATCAGTGAGTGTGTGTTACCTCTAGTGGGATCAGTGCAGTCTCACTAATATTTGATATACATCAAAATCTCTTGCTTCATATTTCACATTCTTTTCCTATTTTAAGAACTAATTTTTGAAAGTAAAAAAACTTGACAGTAATAATAGCGATGATGATCATGATCATGGTAAAGTAGAGAGCTTCTTATGGCTCAAGTTAAGCATTTTAAATGTAATCCTTAAAAACATCACCTTGCACATGTTATAAGCCCTATTTGAGGAAATGGAGGGTCTGATAAGTTAAATGACATTTTCGAGGTTACATAGCAAGCAAAAGTTGAGGCTGTAATGTAATTCCAGATCTCTGATTCCAGTGTTTGCATTCCTAATAATTATTGTAAAATGCTATAGGAAATTTGACCTGGATTTGATCAATCAAAAATAGTTATTTTCTAGAAGAGAAGAACTGTAATGTTCTCAACACAAAGAAAAGATAAATGTTTGAGACGATGGATGTAACAATTACCTGATTTGATTATTACTACACATTGTATACAGATATCAAAATATCACAGGCACCCCCCAAATATGTACAACTGTTAGATATTAGTTTAAAAATTTACACATTAAAAGTAGCTATTTATAAAGTAACTTCCTATTTTGAGATTATGTCTACTGCCTTGGGTTTCTTAGACAATACACGGCATATTTCTTATAAATCAGTCAATAATTGTGCAGCTCATGTACAGACATCAGTGGTGTCTGTTGTAGGAGATAAAAACAGTCAGCACAAATTTGTTTATTGTATTTATCCCAATTCATATTTACGATTTTTTTGTCTTTTCATCAATCTAACCACTGAAAAAGATTTAGCAATTATGGCTTTTTGCATTGCTTTGCTTTTTTTTCTTCAAGTGGTGAACTGTGGCATTATAGCGTGCTTGGGAAGTTTATCACTAGGAGATAAAACAAATACTATGTTAATTCTCAGAACTGAAACAAATTGGTGACGACTGTTTTGAAGTGTGCAATTACATATTGTTCTACTAAAAAGTCAGCAATGGTGATATATTCTCTAAGGTGCTTGAAGAATTTGATGACGTATAATTACCACTAAAGGATAGGTTTTCCAATATTGACCTTGGCGGATGTCATAGCTGTGTTGGGTTCTGTGCCAAACATGGGTCAACTTCTGAGAATCCAATTGCACATTTTTAAATTTATAAAATTAAAAATCATCTGCAAATTGTCTTTAGCCCTTGCCATATTCTGGGAAAGGCTCCAAATTTCTATCAGATCATATGGTATAATTTTTGCCTAGTATTAATAATAGTAACAATAATAATGGGAATATACAGTAGGTAACTATGTACCATGTGCCAGGAATTGTGCTCGGTGCTTTACATGAACTACTTAATCCACAAAAAGCATATCATTCTGGATATAGTTATTAGTCCCACTTTACAAATGATAACCATGAGCCTTGGAGAAGTTAAATAACTTGCTCAAGGTCACACACACAGTATGTACTAGAACTGGAATTTGATCACATATTCTGCTCAAGTATGCTCAGTAGTTCTGTAAATGAAATTTGCAAAGTTTCAGAGAGTAGTGGAGGCAAACAGAATGCCCATTTGTTTTTTGGCCTGACACCTAGGTCATCATTCATGACAGCTTGATGCACATTCACTGATTCCAAGTGTCAATTGAGAATGGCTGATGCAACAGCCCCATAGCACTCACATTTGTTGGAAAATTCCATGTTGATCTTTATATATATACATATATATGTATATACACATATTACATATATACGTATATATGTATACACATATATGTATATATGTGTGTATATATGTATATATGTATATCTATGCATATATATGTATATATAATGTATATACATATATACACATATACATATATACACATATATATGCACACACACATATATATACACACACACATATATATATACACACACACATATATATATAACAGTAGTTGCTTAAGCTTCCAATATTGGCCTCTTCGGTCATGGTACATTATTTTGAGTGTTGGGAGTCAGTATGCCTGAGGTGCAAAGATGATGATGTACTTCCTGTAGACATGAAGGCACTCAGAAATAAAGCAAGGCCATTGAACTGTCATTTGTTGTTCTTCCTACTCAGGCTTTTAAAAAAGAAACTAAGGTCAATTAACTGGGAAGCTTAACCTCTCTTAGCTTGTCTTTCTTTGCGTAGGCTTTTAGCCTTTTAAATAAATCATTTTTTTCTCTTCTCTCCCTCCCAACCCCCTATCCATTTTGAACACGTTCTTGGATTTCTCATGCTAGGCCTAAGGAGCAGACTGCTTATATTCAAGAATGATTTGGAGGGGATAAAGTGTGCAAGATTTTGAATTCTTGCCATAAGTCCCTGGCAGACAGCCAGGCAGCCTCAGAGGAATAAGGCTAATGAAGGGAGGGTAAAGAAGATCCGGGAGTGTGGCTGGTAATGCAGTATTCATTTAATTGGGAGCAGGTACCGGTGCAAACTTCTCCATTTTAATTGGAAAAAGGGAAGGGGATTGTTAAGGACGAAGGAAAAAAGAATGCATAAAGTTTCCAAGCCGAGGAGCCAAAGGCAGCCCTGTCTATGCCAGAGAAAGAACTCAATTTAGGGCAATTTGCTCTGCAAGCTGGGCTGCAGCCTCCCCTGGGAATAGGGATGAGGAAGAAAATGAAACCAAAAGAGAACTTGATAAAATCACCTAGCACAGACAATCTCGGTAGAATAGGTTTTACTGAGTTAAATCTGCCCCAATCAATATGATTCTTTTCATATAAGTTACAAATAAAAAGCCACAAGATTACAATAAAAATCGAGACTCGAGCGCTGCTGATGTTGCACCTGGGAGTCTTAAGAACTTGTTATGGAATATATGTTTTTGCAACTATAATGTTTGTTTTTCCTTTCACCCTGGTCATGTGAATCAACTGTTTGCTTTCCTTCTCTATCCATTTAGTTTTATATATTGTTTTTAAAACCCAACAGAGGCAACTCTTTCTGCTTAATTTCTCTTACACTAGAGGTTGGGGATCGGTGGTTTCATTTTGTTTTCCAATGTGTTGAATCTAACGTAGTTCTGATTTCTCATACTAATAATAAATGAAGAGATTTCTTCTTATTGTATATTTTTGTGATGTAAGGAATTATAAATGTTAATGTATGAGTAAAGGAATAAAAGGGAGGCAAGACTTCATGTAAGAAGGGAAAGAAATGCTTTTGAGGCATATAAGAAACTATTAAAATAGAACATCTTATAGTTTATATGTAATAATTATTAATAATCTTTGACTGTGCTGGAGAAATATGAATTTTGAGCAGCCGATGGTTTCAATGTGATAATTTTTTTTTATCCTTAGTGAATAAGGAGGCAAAAGACTGGAAAAAAAAATTTAGTCTTTCTTCCAGTGTGGTTGACTAATCAACAAAGAACTTGGAGACAGATACTTTATTTTAGTACATAAAAGTACGTCTTAAAGATTAATATAAAGGACTTAGATCTCAAGTTTCCTGGCACTTTTGTTTTGTTATTAAATTTCTTTAAAATAATGCATAATGGAAAATAAAAGGATCATGGTGCCTTGTTGTGGTAGATCTCACTTTCAGTCTGGTTGGTTATACATTCACTGTTTGTAAACCTAAAAGAAGAGTTGACTATGAACATTTTATCCTTTGATGATTATCACTGTGGGTTGGCGAAATTTTTGCTAATATGTGCTAGCAGACTGTGGATTGATTATTTGACTTTATCTCAGTTACTAGGAAGTTCGGATTAGAACTGAAAAGAGACTTTTCTGGATAGAGAAAAAAGAGTAACATTTCAAAATGTGATGAGATGTTACTCCAAATATTCCTTCTCATTTTTCTTGATACCATGCTAAATAAATGAGTCAATTTATCCATCAAAAATATTTATAGAGGACTTCTCCATGTTAAGCACTGTAGAAAATGCAAAGATGAGAATAACATAGAACTTGTCATCAAGAAACTTACTTTATAAATGGGAAGGCCAGACAAAATATAATACAAAGGCCAAGTACAAAATTAGACAACAGAAAAAAAGATGTTCCCAAACAATATATAACTGATGAAGTATCAAACCATATATTTTTTTAAGTTTGCAATGCTAATATCTGAATATGGACAATTTGTGTCATATTTTTGGGAAGAGCAGTAGATCAAAGTAGTTTGTTGAAGGCTGGAAAGTGTTTATGGAACTGATGGTACTTTACTTGCTTTGTATTTAGACGGGCAGGAGAGGATGCAGGAGACTGTACAAAGTTCAAGAAACGATATGCTTTAATCAAGGTAAGAAACTGGGAGAAGAGAGGAAGTGGCAAATATGTTTAGGTTATATGAGATTCTTATAGAGAATGAAAGGGAATTCATTGAGGCCACATTTTAGAAGGTCGTGATCAGAATGTTTTGTTTATCCTATATCTAATGATTTTTGATGAAGAATTTACAAAAAGGATAAAATGCTCTTTTAGGGAGACTGACCCAGTGGCAGGACATGATATAAATTAAAGGGATGGGGGCCTAACATTTGTTCATAGTCTCATTTTTCCCCCCACATGACTAAATATTCATGTTCTCCTTTGTTTTTCTCCATGGATGGAGTCTCCATCCATAAAACTGCTTCACAGAGTTTCACCTCCTGCCTATGCTGACAGGGGCCTTCCTCTCTTTCCTGGGTGTGGGTGGCAGTGTCCGTAAGGCTGCCAGCCCTGAGTGTCACAAGAGTGCAGGGTGTGAGGAAACAGCAGGGAGAAAGGCTCTTTCCCCAACTCAGAATCGCACTTGTGCCAAGAGTTACCCAAAGACTCTCATGAAAATATTTCAATATCTCAGGCTTTCTAAGAATCACAGGAAATCTCTCATAAGACAGTTCTGTTACTTTTTCACCTTTACCTCTGGAACCTTGAATGCATCAGGCAGGGAATGATGCCATCGCCTTCATTATTCTTGTCTCCCCTAATTTGATGGCTTCTGGTCGCAACTAAACTTTTCTTGCTTAATTATAAAACAACAGTTCACACAAATCAATGGGGCTGGTGTGTATTTAATATCAATGAGTGGAAGAAGGGGTCTTCTCTACAGCTCAGCCACCCACCCAAATGCTGTGTTTGATTCTGGTTCTGTAATCTGCTATTTACAGTTAAGCCTCTGGAAAAGTAGCAATTTAGGGGGTTTTCCTTCATCTCACTCCCACTGTTCCCTTCCCTTAATACACCTTTTCCCACTGGAGCATATTTAAAAGAGATGCAAATGCTTAAAATATGTTTGAGGATAGGAGGGGTTTTTCAACTCCTGGCCCTTTTTGTAGGCTTATTGACTGTTAGCACCTTTTTGTTATTTATAAAGAGGAAGAAGACTGAGAATCTTTCTGCCATGATATTTCTCAAAGTGTGCCAAATAAATAGATTACTACCTGCCTTATTCATCTATAAGATGACTCTGTTCTGGTAACTTTGGCATAGTTCTATAAAAAGGGAAACTACCTGTTTAGACTTGCTTGGAAGTTATCTAATAATTACCAATTCAAATGTAATGGGATTAAATATATTGCTTTGAAAATAAGAGGTAAAATCATTTTTAGGTGTATATTTTTGGAATGATAACACTGTTTTATAGTGTTTTAATTTCAGTAGCACCAGTGTAACAGCTGAATAGCTATTAGAGAAATGCATTAATTAAAAACTGTGGATCAATTATGGATGAGAATTTCTTATTAGTTTTTATATGGCCTTGTGCCTTTTCGAGGACTGTGATTTTGTACAAATTTTAATTGAAGATATATCTCTGCTTCTTCATAACTCATGAAATTCAATATATTCTCTCTTGCAGACAGCACCGATGACTATATTAATTTAGAAAGAACCAAGTTCAAGTGTCAAAAACAAGTTAAACCATTGATGTTATTAGACAATACCAAGTTCACCTAACATTTATGGAGCCCCTAGTCTAGCTAGACATTATGCTATTAAATGATATTGCTTACATAACTTATGATTCTTCAAAGGGAGGAATGACATAGGTATTCATATTCACATTTTACAGATGAGAAATGTGAAATCTGAACAAGTTAGACGGTGACTCCATGTCTAGTGAGTAACAGAGGTGGAATTTGTAGCCAGAGTTCCTGATGCTAATGTGGAAGTTAAGAAGTGATTTTGCTATTATTGAATTTATGACCTCAGTTTAACTCATCTACCTCAAAATCTGCAAAACTTTTCTGGAACTATTAAAAGAGTCAACATTCTTGTGAATTATTACACATATTTGGTGGATGAGGGCAAAATATGAGAAAATTACATTCTTCTTTCTGATAGGAATATTCCTTTAAGTAAATAAACAGCATACGCTTCCTTTTTAATTATTATTTTTAGGCGATAAAAGGCAATTAAATAACCCGACTATAATTTTATTATTATGTTTTAGATAGCCTTAGCTTTGTGCTGCTTAAAATAATAACTTTGAAACTCTTAAAAATAAATACATTTTGTTCATTAATGCTAAATGACTTTTTTCATTTCCTAAGTTTTTACTTTGAAAGATTTCAAGCCTATGAATAAACTAAAAACATATATAATGAACACTCATATGTCTCATCTAAGTACACCAGAGGTTACCAATTTCCTACACTGGCAATCTCGCTCTCTCTCTGTGTCCTTCTCACATACAGAAATATATTTACTGAACCATTTAGAAATCAGTTGCAGACATCATGATAATTCACCCCAAATACTTCAACATCTATTTCTTCAAGATGAGGACATTCTTCTTCATAACCTTAATGGTGTTGTTACACCCAAAATATAAACTATTGATGTAAGAAAAATACCTGATATCAGCCCATATTAAAATTTTTCCATTATGAAATTCACATTTCTTATAGTTGTTTCACTTTTCAACTGATGATTCAATCAAGGATTATTCAATACCCTTAGTTGTCTTGTCTTTAATATAGAATAGTCCCTCTCTTGTCTCATGAATTTGAAATTTTGAAAAGTCTAGGCCAGTGTTTTTTTTATTTTTTTCACAATGTCCCACTGATTATTTCTGGATTTTTAGAATCAGTTGAAATACTTTTTGTCAAGAATAATAAACAGATGATCTTGTGTCCTTCTCAGTGTATCACATTAATAATATTGACTTATACCATTATTGGTCATGCTTTATTGTTTATTTGATTAAACTGATATCTCTGAGATTCTTTCATTGTAAAAGGTAAACTTTTTTCTCAGTTGATAGATAACTGTGGTTAACGCTTTAAGACTGTATACAAATCTTGCTCTCAAAAAATTGATTTAATATTTTTTAACATTCATGATAATCTTAGCATTAGTGCTTGCAAAATAAAAATTTTTTAATTTATATCTTTTGTTTTATATTTACTAATAGACTTTCTTCAAGGAAGAACTTTCTCTTCCCCATCTCTTTTATTTTTTAAAATATCATTATGGAGTTAGGAATTTTTAAAATATTTGATGTGTTATCATCCATTGCCATCATTATTTTTTTGATTGCTCAAATTATCCCAAATATGTGAAGTAGAAGCCCCTTCAAGTTGACCTCGTGTCGTTTGATATAGCCTTATCAATCTTTGAGCATTTTCTTTGCTTTCTGTCTCAGCAATATGTTACAAACCTACCTTGCACTTTCCATGCCTAAGAGCTGGAATCAACCATTTCTCCAAAGAGCTCTGGTTCCTTATAGTGGGGAATTGTATTTAGAAACCAAGATTCAGGTTCATCATGTGCTTATTCAGTCAGTCAATGCAGTATATGTATCTCTTATACTGAAAGCTGCATTGCAGAGTTCTTTCACACTATCTCTTATACTGAAAGCTGCATTGCAGAGTTCTTCCACACTTCCTATGTTGGAATCTTACTTTTTCCACAGTGAAGATCCTGACTGTCAACACCAATATATTTATTCATTTAGTGTATTTTACAGCACCCACAAAATATTTTCAGAATTACTACACCGATACCACTACCAACAGCAAACTTGCTAAGTAAACTTAAAGTTTTTTAAAGTTCTTTTTGTCTTTAAAATGTATTCTACTAGGGGTTAATAATCACAGTACTGTGTTCAAAAATTTCTGAAATTGTGTGTGTGTGTGTGTGTGTGTGTGTACGGACACGTATGTTATAAATTTGCTATAGCTAAATTTGTTTCTGTTTCTGTTCAATTTTAGTGATTTTTTTTGGATTCTTGATTTAATTTCTAAATTTACATAAAGAAGTGATATGCTTACATATCAAATGCTATATATATATATATTATATATGGATGAATCAGAAAAGTTTGATTCTTTTTCCTTTCTCTTATACTTTTTTCCCACTTTTCATCTTTAGGTAACAATTTTCATTAGTTTCTGGTTTTTTTCTGAGTGTGTCTATTTTCACAAATATATACACAAATGTATTAAGCAATACATACACAAATAAACATGCTTAATGTGTGTCTTCATTCTCCTCATTCTTACACAGTAGGTTATAATATATATTTTTACATTTAACAATATATCCTGGGAATCACTCCTTAGCAGTTTACTGGCAACTTCTTTAGTGTTTTGTATAGCTACAAAGTACCCATTTTTGGATATTCGGTAATGTATAAAAATCTATTGCTTGCTACTGCAGGGAATTTAAGTTGTTTTCAATATTTTGCTATTATAATTAATGTTTCAATGAATACACTTAAACACTTATACATACGTTTTGTAGTTGTAGAGATATATCCTCAGATTAAATTTTTAGAAGTGGAACTGCTGGATCAAAGGATAGGTTTTGTTTTGCTAACTTTTGCTAAATTCCCCTCCACAGGATGGTATAATGTGATGTTCTGACCAACAACGTATGAGGATGTGTTTCTTCACAACCTCACTAGCAGGGTGTATGGTGAAGCTTTGGATTTCTGTCAACTTGATAAGGAAGAAATGGTCAGTCAGTGGAGTTTTAATTTACGTTTTTATAAATTAAGTGACTGGAAGCATCTTACATGTATTTTAAGACTGTTTGTATATGTTTTTTTTTCTGTGGAACATATGTTCATGTCTCTCTCATTTTTCAGATTTCTTTATATTTTTGGAATATTAACCTTTTATCTGCAATATATGTTGCAAATATTTTCTCACATTTTGTCATTTTTGTTTTGATTTTGCTCATAGTGTTTTTTTCCTGCAAAAGGTTATTTTAAAATATTTTATGTAGTTTAATTTATCTTTTATTGTATCTGGATTTTGTGGTAGAAAGGCTTTCCCCATATCAAGGTTAAAAAGGAATTAATCTATGTCCTGTTCTAGTATATATATGATTTCATTTTTTATATTTAGATATCTGATCTATTTTTAGTTTATTTTTGTATATTTGAGGTACAGATCTGATATCACATTTCCCCAAAAGGAGTGATTGGAAATGGTGTATATATATGTGTATGTATATATATACACACACACACACACGTACACATGTGTGTATATATATATACACATATGTACATACATATGTACACACGTGTGTATATATACACACACATATACACACATATACACATATATACACATATATACATATATGCACATATATATACATACACACACACACACACACACACACACATATATATATAATATATATAAAATTTACATACGTACTGGGCTTTCTCATTGATTCTGTTTATACTCCTGTAACACCGCGCCTTGATTATATCTTAGTATTTGTTTGGCTAGGCACTCTACTGCTGCTTTTGAGGATTATTCTAGTTTTTCTACCGTAATTATTTTCCTTAAAATTTTAAAATCAACTTATCTAGCTTCAAACATATTGTTCTTTGTATTTTTATGGAGTCATGTTGTTTCTAGATTAACATGGTGAGAATTGCCATCTTCGTGGTGTTGACTCAGACCATCTAAGAACAGATAGTTTTCCCTTTAAGTTCACTTTTCATTCGGAGTATTTTAAAGTTTTCTTTAAAAACCTTTTTAACATCACTTGTTAGGTTTACTTCTAAGTACTTCATTTTTTTTGGTGGCCATGAAAAATAGCATTTCTCTTACATTGTATCTTCTAATTAATAATTTGTATATATGGAGTACATTAATTTGTGTATAGTATTTCTCTTTCTACTGTTTTAAATTTTATTTTTGGTTTCAGTTTAGTCATTAAATCCTCGAGTTTTTTATGTATACTATCTTGTCATCTTCAAATAGGATGCTTTATACTTCTTTTATGTTCTTATGTCTCTATTTCCTCATATCTAATTTCATTGATTAATATCTCAAATGCAGGATTATAATTGGAGACAGTGAACATTTTGCCTTTTTCCTGCCCATAAAGGGAGTGTCTTTAGTGTTTCCTATTAAGTCAAATAGGTCAGATACTGGCTTTAGGATACACACAACACACACATACACACATCTATTTTATTTAAAATGGGTGCTGAAATGTGTTGAATCTTCTTTTAAGTTTTCAACGTTTATGGAATCAATCATGTGGTTTTTTTCTTATATTTACTAATATGGTGAAGTACATTGATGCACTGATGGATTTCCAAATATTAAGTTGCCCTTGCATTCCTGGAATAAATACCATTTGACCATGATGTATTTTTTTTGTATAAACTATTGGACTCTGTTTGCTAATATTTTAATTACAATTTTGAAGAAATATTAATAAATGTTATTTTAATTTCTTAAAGCTATAATTACTAGGTTTAGGTATCAAGGTTTTGTGTACTCTCCCAAGAAACACAACAGAATTTGGAAGTTTTTATTTTTCCCCTTATGCTCTGGAATTATTTAATATCATTGGACTTCTATTTTCATCCTTGGAGATTTCCAGAAATTGCCCTTTGAAAACATCTGGACTTGGTGATCTGTATGTGGGGTAATACTTTACTAATTTTCTCTATTTCTGCTGTGGAAATTGATTTGTTTACACTTTCAGTTCCTACTGAGATCAATTTGGTAAAAATATTTTTCTTTAGAATTAGTCATTTCATCTAGATTTTCAAGTTTATTTGTTGTGCAAAGTAAAAGGTAAAAGTCACATGATTTTGAAATTTACTCTTATTTTAATGTTTATTTTGTCCCCTGTAGTTTATTATTTCATGTAGTTTTGCTTTCTTTTAATGATTAGTCAATGATTTGTTTTGTTTTTTAATTAAAATACTAAATTTCTACTATTTTGTGTTTTCTAACTTTATTAATATCTGCTTTTATTTTATTTTGTTCCCTTTTGCTTAGGTTTACATTTTGTCCTTTTCTAGCTGTTTCAATTGGGAATTTAACTCGTATATTTTCTGCTTATTAGTGATTTAATGTAATGACATAAATCCTGATATGTAGAATCTGTAATTCCATTTTGGTCTTTTTCCTTTTGCTCAATAATTACTTATTAGAGAGTTTTAAAATTCAACTTGCAATAACCTTAAAATATTGTTATAACTG
Organism: Homo sapiens; assembly: GCF_000001405.40. Classification (NCBI taxonomy): domain Eukaryota; kingdom Metazoa; phylum Chordata; class Mammalia; order Primates; family Hominidae; genus Homo; species Homo sapiens. The sequence continues at coordinate 97,636,112 of NC_000006.12, forward strand.
TAAAATGTCATGATGTTGTGGCCATGTTTGTATTTTTCCTCTCGTAGAAATTATTAAGATTTTTGTAATAGTTTATTATACAGGAATACTTCATTTTATTTTGCCCTGCTTTATTATGCTTCACAGATATTACATGTTTTACAAATTGATGATTTGTGACAACCCTGCACTGAACATGTCTATTGGTATCATATTTCAACGTGTGCCCATTTCCTATCTGTGTCACATTTTGGTAATTCTCAAAATATTTTAAGTTTATTATTATTATTATCATTATTATATCTGTTCAGTGATCTTTCAAATACTATCGTACTGTAATTGTCTTGGCGTACCACGAACCATGCCTATAGAAGATGGCAAACTTAATTGATAAATGTCACACATTTTCTGACGGCCCCACCAACCAGCTGTTCTCCCATCTCTCTCCCTCTCCTTGAAACCTCCCTATTCTCTGAGACACAACAATATTGAAATTAAGCCAATTAATAACACCACGATAATACTAAAGCTAGCACTGATTAAGCTCAGTGGAAAAGGAATGTTGAAAGTCAAGACAGGAGAAAAGCCAGGCCTCCTACACCAAACAGTCAGCTAAGTTGAGAATGCGAAGTGAAAGTTTTTGAAGGAAATTAGAAGTGCTATTTCAGTGAACTCATGAATGTCAAGAAAGCAAAACAGCCTTATTGCTGATATAGAGAAAGTTTTAGTGGTCTGGAAAGAAGATCAAACAAGCCACAACATTATCTAAAGCCAACGCCTAATCCAGAATTGGTACTAATTCTCTTTAATTCTGTGAAGGCAGGGAGAGGTGAAGAAGCTGCAGAAAAAGTTGGAAGCTAACAGAAGTTTATTAGGTTTAAGGAAAGAAGCTGTATTTACAACATAAAAATGTAAGATGAAGCAACAACTGTTGAGTTGAATTCAACTTAAGTCACCAGCTGCATTAGCAAGTGCTGAGGTAGGAGCTGTAGCAAGTTATCCAGAAGATTTAGCTGAGACAATTGATGAAGATGGCTGCATTAAACAACAGATTTTCAGTATAGGCAAATAGCCTTTTATTGGAAGATGCCATCTAGGACTTTCACAACTATAGAGGAAAAGTTGTTGAGTTCAATGCTTTGAAGGACAGGCTGACTCTCTTGTGAAGGGCTAATGGAGCTTGTGACTTACGTTGAATTCAATGCTCATTTACCATTCTGAAAAGTCCTAGGGCCCTTAAGAATTATGCTAAATCTACTCTGCTTTTGCCCTGTAAATGGAATAACAAAGCCTGGATAATGGCACATCTGTTTACAGTGTGGTTTACTGAATATTTTAAGTCCACTATTGAGACCTACTGCTCAGAAGACTCCTTTCAGAATATTGCTGCACATTGACATAGTCACCAAAGAGCTCTGTTGGAGATGTACAAGAAGGCTCATGTCGTTTTCCTGTCTGCTGACACAACATCCATTATGCAGCTCATGAATCAAGGAATAATTTTGACTTTCAATGATTATTACTTAAGAAATATATTTTTTAAGGCTATAGCTGCCATAAATATTGACTCCTTTTATGGATATGGGTAATATAAATTGAAAATCTTCTGGTAATTCTAGATGTCATTAGGAACATAAATAATTTATGAAAGGAATTCAAAATATCAGCACTAACAGGCTTTTGTAAGAAGTTGATTCAAACTCTCATGGATGACTTTGAGGGGTTCAAGACTTCAGGGAGGAAGTAACTGTACATATGGTGGAAATAGCAAGAGGACAAGAGTAGTGGAGCCTGAAGACATGGTTGAATTGTTGCAATCTCATAATAAAACTTTAATGGATGAGAAGTTCTTTTCATACATGAGCAAAGAAAGTGTTTGTGATGCTGTGAACATTGTTGAAATGACAGAAGAGATTTAGAATATTTCATACAATTAGTTGATAAAACAGTGACAGGGTTTGAGAGAATCGACTTCAATTTTGAATGAAATTGTGCTGTGAGTACAATGCTATCAAACAGTATTGCCTGCTGTGGAGAAATCTTTTGTAAAAATAAGAATCACTCAATGGGGCATACTTTATTGTTGTCCTATTTTAAGATATTGCTACAGTCATCCTAACCATCAGGAACCACCACTCTAATTAGTCAGCAGCCATCAATATTGAGGCAAGATCCTCCACCAGCAAAAAGATTATAACTTGCTCAAGACTCAGATAATGGTTAGCATTTTTAAACAATAAGGTATTTAAAAATTAAGGTATGTACATGGAGTTTTTAGACATAATGCTATTGCACATTTAACAAACTGCAGTCTAGTGTACACATAACTTTTATATGCACTTGGAAACCAAAACAATTGTGTGACTTCCTTTATCACAATATTTACTTTATTGTGGTTGTCTGGAACCAAACTTGCCATATTGCTGAGGTATGCCTGTATGTTCAGTTTTTATAAATGTTCCATGTGTGCCTTAGAATAAGGTAAATGTTTGTTTTTTTGCGATGTGAAGTTGAATATATCTCTATCTACCTATTGGTTTTCATCTTATTGATTCTGTCATTTAGTTTTTTGCCACCTATCTGGTAGGGAGTGTGAGTTAAAATCTCCTTTAAATAATGTGTTTCTGTCTGCTTGTGCTAGCATCATCTGTAATTCTGAATTGGTCAATATGTTACTTGTTGCATAGAAATTGATAGCTCATATCTTCATTGTCCAATTTTGATTTTTGTTATAAAGTTCTTATTAAAAAATCTTAATTAATGCTTTCTGGTCTGGATTGTACCTTGTTATAATTATCTCAATCACTCCTTTATTATTATTATTATTTTTTTTTTGCAGTTTGCTGGTATGCTCTTACCCATCCCTTTATTTTCATCCTTTCTGAATCACTTGGTTTTAGATTTATCTCTTGCATACAATGTAGCACTGGCTTTCATTTTGTGAGACAACCTAAAATCTTATTTCTTAAATAAATATGTTAAGACGACTTACATTGACTAATATGACTGATACTCTTTATCTCAACTACTATTTTATACTACATATATGGTTAATAAAATATATATTTTGTGCTACATTTATTTCAAATTTCTATGATATATATTTAGGCTCACACCATTTGTTTTCAGCTTTAATGATGTATTCTTTCATTCTCTCCTATTTTTTATTTAGGGGTTAATAATTTATTTGATTTCCCTTTTCTGTGTTCCTTTTTCTCTAATTTATTTAGTTTCATTATTTTCATTTGTCAGAACACATAACATTTACATTATTATACATTTGTACAAAAGTTTTGCTTTATTTAGTTTTTCATCTTAGGTCTGCAATTAAAAATATTACATAACTATTGTCAGTTATTCTGTGCCATTTTTGCAGATATTTTCATGTTGAATGAAGCTTCTATTACAGTAGATTTCTATAATATCCTGTGAGAATTTGCACACAACACTATTTTTATATAGACTTTAAATGTGAAGAACAGCTTACTTTGGTTCTCTGAATTTCTCGAAATTAATGTTCTGATATTGTCTTGCTTTGTATTTTGTTGTGAGACACTTATTTTAACCTCCTATTCTTTAATTATAAACTTCTCGATCTTTTGTTAGGAGACCCTGAAGAGTTCTTTTCTTTATCTTTAAATTCTAATAGTTTTCCTAGTCTATATTCAAATTAACCATTCTGGGTCAACTTTTCTAAGTGCATGAACTCTTTCAAAATACAAATTTATGTCTTCCTTTTACTTCTGGAACATTTTCTTAGATTATCTTTTAAAATATTAGTTTTATTCCATTGGTTTGGTTTTTTCGTCATGGACTCCAATTATATGTGTATTGGACAGTCTCATTTTATCTTTTATATTTCTCACCTTTTACCTCTTAATTTCATTTTCATTCTCTTGGTCATTTTTATTCATTCTCTAAATGCCTCTTATTACTTTTATAGTCAAATATATTCTACCTTTGTTATGTTTTAATTTTGTCTTTATTTCTGAGATTACTTTATCTTTTTCTTTTGCTCTTTCCTGAGGGTGCTTGTGTCTTGTTTACATCTTTATTTTTTTCATCTTTTTAGGTCTTAAATTTCTGGTTTGAAGGTTTTTTAAGTGTCTGAAAATGGTTTTAAGGCTATTTGTTTCTGATGAAGGTGTTAGACTACAAGTTTTCTATGCTTTAGATTGTGTTAGGGAGAAATTTGATTGACTAGAACAGTTTTATTCTTACTTCTATTTTGTTCTTATGGTAGTTTTGACTGATTTTCCTGACATTTCTATTGATTGTAATTTTTTGTTTACTTTACTTGACCGGTAATAAACATATACTTATGCATGAATAGGGAATATGGGTAATTTATTAGATTTATTAGCTCATGTGTATCCTCTTCAATTAATATTGTGAAGTACCATTTATTTAAGAGGTTGCAATTGGTGGGGGTGGTTGTATGTCTTTTAATTTATGATTTTTTTGTTGTTCTTTCTTTGGGGTCTTAATTTCTACCACTTGTTTCTGTCTTTACTACTACCACAGAGCCATTAAGCAACACCTTCACTTCCCGTAACTGACATCTTTAATCATGTGCATCTTCAAGTCCCTTCCTTTTGATTCCCCAACAGCCAGTTCTCTAATCCACCTGGCAGAAGATCTATTTTCAATATTTACTTATCCAAGCTAACATTCTTTTTCTGGGGATCAATTGACCTCAGTTGCACCAATATAAGCCCCTGATTTCTTCTCTTTTCCATGCAGTTTCTTTACTCTTCATACAGGTTTGGATGCTACTTCTGCTTATTTCATGTATTTTCCCTTTGGCCTGTAATTTGAAGACTTTTAACTGTTTAAGTTTCAGCTATACTATTGGCATGGATTATTTATTGGTATTATTTACTTTCCTTATTGATATCTCTCTCTCTCTCTCTGTCTCTTTTAGTACATATGGAGAGTTTCAGGCATAGGTATCTGTTGTTTTCTATAAAAACTCAGAAGCCAGCTCTTATAATATTTCCAATGTAGCTTAAAATTTAAATTCATATGTAGAAAATTAATTTGATTGGTATTGTATTAACTTACACTGTGAATGCTAACATTCTTTATTACAAAAACCATAACTTAATTGTCTGCTCTAAAAATGCTCTTGGCCTATGGACTAAAAATTTCTTTCAAGTCATGTGATATGTAAGTTGTTCTAATTTTTAAATTTAAAAGTCCTTTATGAGTATTTGTCACAGCTTTGCAAAGCAATATTTTATTATATAATTAATAGTTTGTGCTCTGGAGTTAAAATACCTCATTTTACAGTCTGGTTCCACTACTTGCAAGCTATATAATTGCAAAATTTACTTAATTCCTCTGTGCTTCAATATCCTTTCTGATAAATTTAGAAAAACTATGTTATCTATGCATAGGATTATTAATGCCTATATAAAACTTAGAACACTTGGCATATAATAAATGTTTAATAAATGGTTCTTCATTATTTTCAAGCCAATATTTTTGGTTAATAGGCCAAATATTTTAAGAGCTAATTTCCAGATAACATATTTAGAATTCTCCTACACTAACAATATTTCCTTGAAAATCTTGAGAAAAGGTAACAAAAATAAAAGTTATTGATTTTCTTGAATAGTTTTTGAGTTACTTTCCCTTAGAGTAGATGATCTCTGCAGTAGAAAGACAAGTTAGTAACAAGAATTAATGTTCTAGAGTTATTGGTACAGATTATAAAAGTTCTTTCACAATTCTGATTCTTTCAATAACAAATCTTATTAAACATTTAGCTTTTGGAGTTGAATGTTATATATATTCTTGTTGTTATCTTACTAGTTTTACTAAAATCCTTGAACATACGGGTAACTTCACTTTTAATTAGGTATATTTTTGTATCTTACCATCATCAGTATAAATAATTAGACCACCCTTCATAATTTGAGAGTATTTTTTGTATGTTGTGAGAGCTTGGGTAGCTGTTTCCTCATGATTTTCTAACAGCTTCAAATAGAGGATTATTCTAAATTCAGTAATCTTTTGGTGGGTATGATCATGTGAACATGCACTTTTTTTTGAAACTGGACATTTACAATCTGAATCTGAATAAAGGTAATCTTAGGCCTTTAACTCATGGCTCGTAACCGGATTACTGTTGATGGCCCTTCTAGATTTACTCTGATCTCTTTTACCAGGTCTGTTCACATTTTGCCTCTGCTAGGGTCAGTGGGTGTTACCCATCTAGAGCTCATGTAATTGAATCTTTTACCCTGGCTGTTTCTTAAACAGGTTGTGGTATGAATTTGAACAGCAGATATTTATGTGAGCAGGCTTAAAACCATGCATTCTCAGGGGAGATTATTATTGATTACCTATTCTAAAACTCTGATTCCCTGTATGAATTTTGCTTCAAAGTCAGTACTGCTGTTTGAGATTAAGTTCACCCTTTTGTTATTTCAGTTTACTTTTAATTTTTTCCTGGTACCTAAGGATTTTCTCTACTTATTTGTGAGCTTATTAATGCATTGCAGAATGGTATCGATGGTATTGGTTGTAATATGTCCAGCATGTGGATGCTTTGCAGTAGTATAATTTTATAGAATACTACTGAAGTATAATGCTGACTTTCAGATTTTTACTTCTTCTTCTTTTTTTTTTTTTTTTGAGACAGAGTTTCGCTTTTTTTGCCCAGGCTGGAGTGCAATGGCATGATCTTGGCTCACCACAACCTCTATTCAAGCGATTCTCCTGCCTCAGCCCCCTGAGTTAGCTGGAATTACAGGCATGCACCACCATGCCTGATTAATTTAGTATTTTTGGTAGAGACAGGGTTTCCTCCATGTTGGTCAGGCTGGTCTTGAACTCCTAACCTCAAGTGATCCGTCCGCCTTGGCCTCCCAAAGTGCTGGGATTACAGGCGTGAGCCACCAGGCCAGGCCAGATTTTTATTTCTAATTATGTTTTTTTACTTCCTGGTCTTTTGAAATATGTCTTCAAGAATTTTTTTTTTTTTTTGGTGGTACATGGAATTTTTTTCCTACTCTGAGAGTATTTAGCATGCTTGGGCACATAAAATATAATTTGGTACAATACTGAATTGTTGGATCACCCCATTTTCATCTCAGAAATCTGCACTTGCTCCAGTTCCTTCTGTTGTTTAATGCTATGAAGGAGAAGTCTGAAGCCAGCCTGATTTTTTGTTTGTTTGTTTCATTGTAGTTCATTTTTTGTTGTTTTACCAGTAGTTTACAAGAGTTATAACATTATTATTCTTATAATTCAGTTATTACCAAGATGTGCATTTGTCATTATGCCTCTTAAATTCTATTCTAAGAAACACTTTTTTTTTTTTTTGTGGTGAGAGATCGTATTTGAGGCGTAACAAGGAATAAAATGGGTTCTCTTGTTTAATTCATTGTGAAATTATTCTTTCTGTTCAAAAGGTATAACTTTGGAAGTAGTACAACAAATTTCCCAGTTTTTTAATTGTATAGTTTCTGGGTCTCTGAGTCAGGAGAGGTACTAGAAAAAAATGAATTTCGCATTTTTTTTCTAGGCTAATACCTATTCACAAGGTATAGCTTTGGCATTCTTAGTGTCAGCTTTAGTTTGGTTTTAGTTTCTATATTTTCTATTTCATATGTGTTCTTTAATCATACTTTATGAGAGGCTGATTTAAAAGGTACTGGGAAGAAAACATCTTAAATTTTAGTCCACTTACATTTTAATCATATGCAATTTGTTATTAAGATTATGCTTAAATTTTCACTTGTTTAAGATTGCTTTATGCATATACACTGCATAATAGCTTTAAATATTTTAAACTCGTGTCTTTGTCACAATTGGCGACTTCTGTCTTGGTCACTGATCTTTTCTAAATTATTTGTTTTGTCATTTCAATTGAAAAATGTGATGTTCCATCAATAATAAAATCCCAGTTGGATAAAAATATTTTTATATTATAAAAATTATCTGGAGTGTAGTTAGAACAAGAACTACAATTATAATGGTAAAGTTTTGGCTGTTTTTGTGTATTCCCATTTTTTGGTGGAATAATTGGTAAAGACATGTCTCTAAAATGTGGCTAACCATTGTCATATAGTGAAATTTAAAATGGTATCTAGAAAATAATTTAAAATGTTATTTTATCTTAAAAAGTAGATAATAATAAAGCATCAACTTAATTATACATTAGGAAATGAATCAAAGGCCAAATTTCCTTCATAAACAATAAGCTTTAATTTCAAGAACTACCAACAAAATGTTTTAACAAGTGAAGCAACATCAATATCAGTTAGATTATATAAACATGTAAGTAAAAATTAGCCATTGAAAACTCTAACACTATCTAGCTTAAGTGTGGTTCTCTGAAATATCATGCTCTTCGAGTTTTCAAATATCAGGTTTAACAGTACCCTCTCTAGTAAAGATCTAATTGTGGATGTCAGGCTTTGACTGCCTAATGCGATGTATTTAAGATAAGGAATCAGGAAATGAAATGGGTTATTTCCCTATACTCCTTTGCAGTCCATTTGGTTTCCTGTAATTGGGATCAAATTTTCCATCTGCCTTGGTCCTCTGTTAATTATTTCAGCTAAAACCATAACATTTCCCCTCTTTGAGTTTCTGCTACTATAACCCTTGATTAAATGTCAGGTTTTTGTTTTCATTGTTCTACTTTTTTTTCGTATTTACATTTTTGACAGCCTTCCCTCTCAACTGAATACTGTTATCACTTCTTTATTCTAATCCTCTCCCAAGCTGCCTATATTATCACCCCTGTGTTTGAGAACTCAGATTCTTACCCTTTAATCCACTAATTGGGTTTTTACCCCATCTCACCTTGCCTCCTCTTTATGCATCTGACCCTTCTTTCTACCATACAACCTGCCCACTAGGCTTGCGGTCATGCCAGATCTTCTTACCTTGTGCTCTCTTTCTTCACCCAGAGGACTTTATTAATATTTTCTCTTCCAACTCTCCCAAAAGTTTCTATGAATATGACATCCTTTATAATATTTTTCTAGAATAAATAGCACATTTTCAAATAGATTTTTTTTAAGAAAATAAATTTATTTTTTGAAGTCAGTATTTTTTGATTAAGTATATGTATTGGTTTCAACAGCTGGGAAAATGTATGTAATTAACAAACATTTATTTCATCCTATTCATTTCCATTTATATTTTCCCTTTGGTGAGAAAAGGGTATATGCTTATTACTCCTTCAATGAATGCTTTTCTCTTTAAATATGAATTTAGTCAAAATATTTATTGTAGGATATTAAAATTTATGGTTACTTTTTAGTGAATTTGAACATGTGGCAAAATCAAAATGTATGAAAATAAGCCAAGACAATATTCCTTGTAAAAGTTTACACAGATATAATGAGTGGTGATTTTGTCAAGTTTTTCTAATATTCTATTAATATAGTCTATGTAATTGGATTATATCAAAGAACATAGGACAAATTATAGAAGAGTATGTTAGTATGTATACAAGCTACGTTGTTCAGCCACAACTACAAATTTCAAATGAATCAAGAAGTTTGAAATCTGTATTATTTTCTATGGAAACTTAAAAAGAACATTTTCTTTTTTTTTTCAACATGATCTTGCTTTTTGTCACATGCACAGAATGAAATAGGCCTGGTTTTTACTGTAAATTTATAATTTAGACAGGCTGATTTTATTAATTGAAGGTAATTTTCAAATATTTGACTTGATAAGAAGCATGTCACCAAGCAACTAACTCACCAGGAAGAATCATGATAGGTATTCAAGACTGACGTGGATTTCTAAGAATTATGAACTGTATCCACATAATAGTAAAATTCTGGCAAAGGGGAATAAAAGCATGGAGTATATTGTCTAAGGTGAAGGAGAAAGTGTCAGGATGAAGACCTATTATCATATGACAGGCCAGGAAGTTGATGAGTAAATCAGCACAGAAGAAGATAAAACAAGACCCTACCAAATGCATTTAACATATTTCTGTTCCACGAATCAGATGTTTAGGGTGACTGCATCAAGCAGGACTGGAGAAGTCAAATTGGCACAGATTGACAGAAAGGAGCAAACAAACAATTTTCTGTAAGACACTAAACCTTACATTATAATCAGCAGACTGAAAGTATAATTTACCAGTAGCTTTAAGGAAAAACAAATATAAGGAACTAGATCATATTTTGCAGATGTCACTGTTACATATAGTGCTTTCCACAAAAGATACTTAAAAGTTCAAGTCTAGCTAAAAACTATAGATTAGTAACTACCATATAAATAAACAAATTACATGTAATTTTTCTATAATTTCATCAATATAAATTCCTTGACGTAAAGTTTTTTTTTAAACTCTAAACATTACCTTGTAAACTTGTTCTTCAAATGAATTTTCAAAGACTTTAGCTTCATGTATATTTGGAACATTTTTCCTTCCTTGTTTTATCTATACATTTTGATTGGACGCTCTGCAAGGACAG